>NC_000007.14:149912925-150064440 GCF_000001405.40 Homo sapiens | reverse complement strand
GGTGCCCACCACCACGCCTGGCTAATATTTATATTTTTAGCGGGGGGTTGGGGGCGGGGGGATTCACCATGTTGGCCAGGCTGGTCTCGAACTCCTGACTTCAGGTGATCCGCCCACCTCAGCCTCCCAAAGTGCTGGGATTACAGGCATGAGCCACCTTGTCTGGCCTCTACTTTCTCCAGTTAGAAAGTGGAAGAAACTGAGCTTCAAATGTCTTGCTTACAGCTATTTTGGGGCTCTGAGTTGAGATTTTTGTTGTACCATTTGTGAAGCCATCCAGGTGCTGGGTCTAATCATTCCTGGGCAACTGAGATACAGAAGGAGCCCCAGCTTAGATGGTGCACAGGCACATCATACCCTGGGCATTATTTTTGCCCTTTTTCTGGAAGTACGATTGGAAATGGGCAGCAGATGGACCACTTCGCATTTTACCCGTTCAAGCAAGGGGTATTTTTCTTCTAGGAAGTGGGATTTCCAAGCAAAACTGCCGCTTTGGTAGTCACTTGCCATACTTCAGTGTCCATGGAAAAACAACTGCGTATAGGAAGAGGGAGGGGGGACATAGCGTGCCAACTCTAACTCTGATGTCTGCACCACTCATCCATAATCCATGTTCCAGTGGGGAAGGTGATATTCCCTGGCATCTACAGACCCAGCAGGCACACGGTGGGTGAGTGGGCCTGGTCACCTGCAACCGCAGTAGAAACTCTATCCCAAGGCAAAAGGAAATTAAGAAATCTATTTGTGAATAATATTCACAACTACAATACTGTTTTGTTGGATCTTTCTTAGTTTCTTCAGTTCAAGGTTGATTTGTGGCCCATGAGTCTCTGATCCAGACATTTGAAAATCTCTAGACTCAGTGAAAGTCATGTTAATTATAAAATCAGTAAGTACACTGTACAAGAGCAGCTTTGAGCTTGGTAGGAAGACGGCCTTCCCAGGAACCAGAGAGGAGAGAGCCAGCTTTGACCCTGGGAGGCACATGGGAGAAAAGAGTTCAGTTGGTTTATATTCTATGAACTTACTTTCCCCATTGGTATTCTGAAGTGTTCACTGAAACACAGCTGCTCCTGGCACTCTAACAGACATTTCCCAGGACCTCATGGCAGCCTTATCCACAGTCTCCAGCCTGCAGTCACATGTATTTTTCAGGGGTTCACTGTTAGCCCTTTGAGCAAATATTTATAGAGTTGTTTTTAAAAAATTACTGATGCTGTAATTAAAAAGAACACTTAATCCAAATTACTTAATAGACGAATAAATGAGTGAATAATCAAAACATTTAATACCACTGGTATATATAAGAAATGAATTAATTTCAAAGTGTGGAAAAATTATGTGGGCTTCTTATCAGTGGTATTAATCTATTTTTGATACATAAACCACCCTAAGAGGTTTTCCTATCTATCCCAAGTGTCATTTTGCAGTATTAGTTTCTCTAGGATGTGTTTTCATTAGCCTCTTAGATATAAATGGCTATACCACTAAAATGTAGGAAAAATCCCAAATGAAAGCCCTTTCCCTATTCACCCTGTTAAGCTTCCTCTGGATGGAAGCTCTCTTCACCCTTGAAAGCTGCTAGGAGGTAATGGAGGGCACTGTGGCCACCCAGCCCTGGTGCACTGAGTACCTTTCCTTAATAAATCACCGTTGGAGTCCTATGGCAACAACCTAACTTGATAACACATATATCTAGATGTCTTGCTTCATTGATATGACAGTGATTTCTCTTTTCATACTCACCTTGGGAATCTAAGATGTTAGAAGCTAATAAATCCCCCACACATAAAACATATAATGATACATTCAGAGAAAGATTCTCTAAACTGATTTCAGCAGTTCTTACATATAATAGAAACACAGACTTGCCTACCATGATTTTGTTACTTTTGTTGTCATAGCCTCATTCATTCATTTGACAAATACTTGTTGCCCATCTCGAGTGTTCCAGGCACCGTGACAAACACTGGTTATGAACAGCAAAGGAGATGGAAGTAGTCCCTCCTCTCAAGGAGTCTGTCCTCTACTGGGGAGATACAGGGAGGTATCCAGCAGTACAGCCTGTCTGTCTGGAAGGAGCCCACCCCACATGCAGTTGAAAAACACAGCATGGCAGATTTTTCAATTTTAAAAAAAAATCACGTGCTGATTTTATAACAGATTTTAAATATGACCTACCAGTAGATTATAGTTCATCATTTTTGAAAGGCACTGTTGTTAACGATGTAGCACCTTCCCGTCACTGGTATCTCAGTAGCCACCAGTCAGAGCAGCTCCTAGCAGACTCCAGAATCATGTTAATATCTTCCATCCGATCACCTCTCTGAAGACTGTTTGTAGATAAGTGTGTCTTAAGTGAACTTTATTCGAATGAACTCCTACCCTGTAGATGACAGTTTTTGCATGAACCGTAATCAGACATAGATCTTCTTAGGGAACATATAATGGGGAAAATAGGACTTGGCCAGTCATGGCAGATGTTCATTGATGTGTGTCATATGAATAGATGGATGAATAGCACAAGGTAAAGAGTGGTGTGTTTTATAAGGCAGGCACATGCAGATGTTATGAGGACTTGGCAAGGCTAGTAGTAACTCCTTAAAGAATCATGGAAGACCTCAAAAGCCAGGAGGTGGTGTGTGAGCTGGGCTTTAAAGTAAGCCTATGGTTGTGCCATCTGGAAATTTAATTTCACAACATCCTGGAATGTGTTTCCAGTGAATGAGTCAATGAAATGACAGAAGTCAGTGGACAAAGATTACTGGGAATTTTCCTGCAAGATGCAGCACTCAGACCTGGGTTTGAACCCAAACTCTCTCCTACTTTTACCCCAGGACTTTTCCCTTATAAGACAATGCATGTGAAACGTATGGTTATAAAGCTACCCCAAAGTAGAATCTTTTATTATTCTTCAGTAAAACCCTTCATGGGATGAGAGTTTACGAATAAATTCAGAGTTCATCTGGAGGTGCCCGGTGGATCTCTTGATGTCCTAGCTTCCCAGGTACATTGCCAGTTTACAGGAAAATATGCCTTTTTGAAACTCTGATTGAAAACAAATTAGCTGGGTTTTCTTGGACGATGAATCTGTAGTTTTTCAAAGATCAGAAAATTCCTGTTCTCCAAGAAGACAGGTGCAGAAGTGATCATCTGAGGCTGCTCTCCAAGGTCCTCAGTGTATTTGCAATTTCCTCAGAGTCTGTCAGCCATCACAGCATAGCCTCTTTCTTTTTTCTGGATTTCTTTTTTATTCCATGATAGGTGGAATAAGGCAATCTGGGCCCAGTAATGCTTGTTTTTTAACTCAGTGTCATCACTATCTCTCAGCCAGTGTTGTGTCCCACCCACCAATGGCCCAGTGAAAAGTGATCCAGAATCCCTTCTGAATCACTGAATTATTTGCACACAAACTCATCTATCTGATCTGTCCATCCTCCATGATAAACGGAAATTAGTTTCATTTTCTGCCCTCCCCTTCCTCCTGGAATATCTGACTCTTCAATAAATGAGAAGACAGAGTTATGGTTCATTTACTGACTTGATTTTAATATTTCGGAGAGCATTTAAAACATTTATAGCGCAGCAGTCTTCCTTTTCATAGGAAACAAAAGTCTTCTAAAAGGCAGTCTCATTTCCCGTGTGGTTAGTTGAATACAGAAACCGTGTAGTCAGAAGGAAGGGGCTGCCCTGAGTCAGCCCGGGCTCCCGGGGCTGGACGGAGCTTGCATTTCTGAGCTCCCAGGGCGCCCCCAAGTGGCGAGGTCAAGCTCCAAGTTGTTCTCAGTGTGCTCAACAGCAGCGCTTTTATAAGGTTCTTTTTGTTTTGTTTTGCTTTGGCTTTGCTGTTGTTTGTTCGGCTGCTTTTATTTTTGCAGTTGGCTGAATTCATCCGAGGGTTATACAAATCAAAAACTGTAAGTGGAGAGGATCTACCAGTTGTTTTGCAAAGATAGGGGTGCTATCACGGAGGATGCTGTTGGTGTGGCATAGGTGGGAAAGAGAAGCAGTAAGAAGAAAGGAGAATAAAAGAGAAATCCATGAAGCTGTAAGAAGTGTTTTTTTGTCACTTTTTAATGCTGATTTATTCACCTGGATCAAAATAAGGAAAAACACACGAGGTCTAAATCATCAAAATATGTTGCAAGATAAGGCAGCACGCTTCATGAGGCTGTTTCTCTTGCTTTCTGTTCTCAACACCAGTTCTGTGTAAGATGACCTGCAACATAGACTCTGCATGTAGAATCTGTTAGTGGCTGACCCCTGCCTTATATAAACAAGGCTGGTAAATATGGAGCGAGACTCACATTCAAACAACAATTCTATGGGCTGGATTAAGACTCAAAGTCCCTAAACACTCATCAAATCATGTTGCCTCTCCCATATGCAATTCCAGAAGGATAATTTATTTTGTTAACTAATAAAAGCAATATCATGTGTGCCGAAAGTATTTTTTCCCACATATTCTGGGTACAAAATTCTATATATGTTCTTAGGGGCTGGAACATTTTTCCTTTAACTGTGATTCCTATTCTGATTACTAGTGTTCTGAATGCACACTTAGCCTGCGTGCTACATGGCCTGTGCAGCTCTTCCCTCCTGCCCCGGGAAGAGGATTTCAAGCCTGTCATCTTCAACTCATAGCAGCCTTGGTGGAGTGGGTTCCAAACTGGCTCTTATGATGCCAGCTCAAAGTCAGCCTCTTGGGAGTCTCTTTAGGGCAACAGGGTTTTGCATTTCAACACAACCTAAATATAAAGTGCAGATAAACATAAGAGTGTTATTTTAAAATAAATTTGCTAAAGCATTATTTCTCTTTTCCCCTCTCCCTCCTCCTCTGTCCTTCCTCTACCCTCCTCTTTCAGACTCATACTCCTCCTCTGTGGCTTTACCAATCCTGGATAGAAAACATCTCACAAAACATGTTCTCTTCTCTTCACATATTTAAGAGGCCTTCGAGCATTGACACACATTTGCCTCCAGATTTTCTAGTTGAAGAAATGTGCAAAAATCAATAAAAAGCCCAAATACAGTGGTATTTTTCCTCAGAGTTATGGACAATAACAAATAATCAGGTGGGAAGGCTTGATGATTTTCTTTTTAGATTGTGAGCTACAGGCGGCCATATGTGTTTTAAAGGTTAGGTACATCAAAGAAGTTTTGAGGTTTCCCCTCTGTAACAACTGATTGGCCCTCTCGGGAGCTCTGTGCTTAAATAAAGCTGATAGGATTGGCCTCTCTTAGCATGCTTATGCCATAGATGAGCGTCTGATGCTTAGCGACCTATCCTGGTGCAAGAGCCAGGCAGTGGAAGAACCAGGTGTGCAGTATGTCCTACAGGAACGCTTTTGGCTGTGAAACAATTCCTGGCTGAAAGGGCCTAAGCCCGGGGGATTTTATCTGGGTGGGAAGAGGATTCTGGTTTTAGTTCAGTACCTGCATGCTCTCAGGGCTCAAGGTGTGCATCCTTGCAAACACTGGCCCCTTCTTCTCATGTTTGTTTGTTTTTTTGTTTGTTTTTTTGAGGCAGAGTCTGTCTCTGTGGCCAGGCTGGAGTGCAGTGAGTGGTGTAATCCTGGCTCACTGCAACCTCTGACTCCCTGGTTCAAGTGATTCTCCTGCCTCAGCCTCGCGAGTAGCTAGGATTACAGTCATACGCCACCAGGTCCAGCTAATTTTTGTATTTTTAGTAGAGCCGAGGTTTCACCATGTTGGCCAGGATGGTCTCGATTTCCTGACCTCGTGATCCACCCACCTTGGCCTCCCCAAGTGCTGAGATTACAGGCGTGAGCCACGGCGCCTGGCCTCTTCTCATAGTTTCAAAAAGGCTACAGCAACTTTGAGCATCAAATCCTCACACAACTATGTTCAAAGACAGAAAACAGGAGGAAGTGATGTTGGCAGGCCAGGGGAGGGGTCCCTCCTCTGACCACTCTCTCTTACCAGAGAGAAAAATAATCTTTGCCACAGCCTCCCAGAAAACTTTTTATTTCTGCTTCATCAAGTGGACACCCTTAACTTGTGGATATTCTATATTGGCAGGTAAATAAGTGAGAAGGGATATGGGTGCAGCACGGGGGCAACCAATGAAAGGTTGGCCATACAAGCAGGTGTTCCAATAAGACGGAAGAATACATGAACCATGCTCACAGGAAAATTTATATAGTTTCCTCTTGGAAAACAACAACAAAAACCTTCCGGTCTTATCCAAAGCACTAATTGGATGAAAAATGTCAAGCTTTTCTCAGTGTTCGGTGCAGTACAAACGTAGGATTATTTCTAAGTGGAGGAGCAATAGAAGATAGCACTGTAGAACTCTTCCGTCATGCCAAGAGAAGTTAGATATGACCAATACAATGAAGGGAAATGATAAGGTGACATTATCCCTGAGCTAAAAGTCACCGAATCTGGGACAAGGTATGGGCTAGTCAACTTGTGGAGCTCTCCAGCCCCCTTCTCAGTGAAGAGTTTAAGGCAAACTAGAATTGCATTACATTTAGTGATTATTTTTCCTCAAAGACCAACGACTTCAATGGGAGATAGAAGAGTCTGTGGATCACTTGCTTTTATTCTCTTCCTATAGCTGTGAAAATTGATTCAAGAAATTGCCAACATTCCACTTTAATCAGGGTAGAAACCAAGAGTTGGGTGTAGTTTACCCATTGAGATGCTCTATGCCTTGGCAATGCCATCATTTAAAAACATCATGAAGACTGTTTTTAGTCATATGGACAAATCCAAGCAGGCTGCCTTCCCAGGAAATCAGGAGCTACCTATGAAGTTCTAGGCTTGAAGTTTTTTGATTGGTGGACTTAATAAAATGTAGATATAATCAGTAGATAAAAAGTGAGTACTGGCTGGGCACGGTGGCTCATGTCTGTAATCCCAGCACTTTGGGAGGCCAAGGTGGGCGAATCATCTGAGGTCAGGGGTTCGAGACCAACCTGACCAACATGGTGAAACCCTGTCTCTACCCCAGCTAAAAATACAAAATTAGCCAGCTCTGGTGGCGCATGCCTGTAATTCTAGCTACTTGGGAGTCTGAGGCAGGAGAATCACTTGAACCCAGCAGGTGGAGTTTGCAGTGAGCTGAGATCATGCCGTTGCACTCCAGCCTGGGTAAAAAGAATGAAACTCCATCTCAAAAAAAAAAAAAAAAAAAAAGGACCTATTCCAAGATTTTCATTAAATGCTCAGATAAGTATACCACCCGAGGATCAGTATTATAACCAGGTATCTTATTGGAAGTCTTGTGTTTTATCTTGGAATACTCATGAGTTCGGTATTCCATCTCCTGGTATATTTGGATTGGATAATTCTATGTTATTTGATAAAATTGCCTACTCAAGGAAGATAGTTATCCTAGGGATTTGAATATCTCAATTGGGAAACTCAGCATTCATTGAGACCACAATCAACCATTTACATCTCATTTTGAGTTGGACTTGAAGTTGTGGATGATATCAGAGCCCTGAGAGAGAGAAATTTAAAAAGGAATCCTGAAAGGCAGATGTAAATATCGCCTTACACTGCTTCTTCTTTTACCCCAAGATGGCTAAGAAAGCCTTCAAAGTCCTTTGAAAGCATTAATTTATCCAACTTTTCCCACAAAGACTGAAATGGGTCTGCATCAATGATGTAATTTGGGTATTGCTGGGTTATACAGGAGCACAATGGTGATGATTATGGGTGCGCTGCAGAGGACTGAGTTAATGGAATCCCATCAGGGACTCAGAGCACAAATTCGGGGCACAAACAGGACCCACCTCATCCCGCTGCAGCTGAGAGTCACTGTTGTTGCTGCTGTGAGTGAGGGAAAAGGCTGATCAAATTGCAGGCTCATGTGACTCGTGGATTTATTTAGCCAATGGGCAATTTCGGTGGTACCTCTCAAGCAAAATATAAGTAATTGTTGAGAGAATTACTTTTTTGATTACCAAATTATTATGATTTGAAATGCAATTAGTAGTATAGACAAACCTATTTTTCCCCTTTATGAGAAGGAAATTGTTCGGAAATGGGCATAGTGGTGCTGATAAAGTTACAGTCCACAGTGAATTAAATTACCCACAAGAAGCAGATACATGGTTTCATTTCAGTTTTATTGCTCCTAATGCAATTTGTTTTCATTAATGAGAACCCACATATATGCATGAATCAGGGTTTTGCACTGATACCTCCTGTGTGGGGTATTTCTTTTTCCAGGTTAGGTTTCATTCTCCATATTTAAGATCTATTGTGTGTATACTGATATTTGCTTATAAATATTAAACATGCACCTGTGGTTCAGAGAATATGTTAAAATTCAAGAAAAGCTACCGATCTACCTAAAGTAGCATCAACCCATTTTTTAAATTTGTAGATATTTCCATTTGTACATGGAAATTTAGAGGGAATCTTAAGTGATGGTGAAAAATAAAATTAAATGGATTTTATAATGAACGCTTTAACATGCTTGAAAGGAGTGGATTCAGGAGAATTAAGTTCATAAAAGTCAGGTTTCAACTTTAAATGTTTATTAACTTTATTGATTTTTAATTAAGGACAGGATTTTTTTATTGCATTAAAAAAGCAATGAGTCCAAACTAGAGGCACGGAAGATTTTTTTATGAAATCAGTGTTTGAAAGTAAGGCTTTTTTTTCTTTGCAGTTCTGCAGAGTTCTTCTGCCAAACTGCATATGTTCTGGCAAGATGGGAAAGGCTCTCTGCTAAGGTACAAAATCAGAGTATCTCAGATAAGCCACAACAGTTGTGGTATGATAGTTTGACCATATCTTTGCCTTTGCTTTGACAATTCCCTTTTGATTTCTACCTTCTTCCTGACATGAAACTTAAACATCAGTTCAAGGGCGAAACAGCTTCTGAAAATGTCCTGCAAAGACTAAATGGACTGCATTCTTTTTTGATTCTGAATAAAGTCTTAGCAAAGATAAAAAAAAAAAAAAAAACTCCCTCCCTCATTTAAATGGTTTCTTTTTTTTATTCTTGAAAAATCCTTACCCTTAGGAGAATCCTTGTCCAATCCTTTAAATGTATAAGCTGTTATCTGAAACCTGAGCAAACATTTGAGAAATCTTCCAGGTCACCTTGGTGCCATGAAGAAAATTGCTCTAGTACATTGCTCTAGTGCAGTGGTTCTCAGACTTGTGCATGCATCAGAATCATCTGGAGAGCTTGTTAAATGCAGCTTGCCTGGCCCCAGCCCTGAGTTTCTGTTTCAGTTGGTCTGAGACAGGGCCCACGAATCTGCATTTCCAACAAGTCCCTGAATGATGCTTTCACTGTTGGTCCAGAAACAACTCTTTGAAAGCCACTGTATGAGTAGATTAAAAATGCTACTTGGTGCTGCTATAATAAATAAATCACAGCTTTATTGTGAACACATTTGCAAGCTAGTGGTTTCTAACAGTCCTTTTGTAGTAAGACTAGCAGTGCTCCAAATGTACCAAAAGGAGCAAGAAATTGAGAAAACGGCATCTATTCACAAAAGAAAAGCATTATCAGTCGGATAATGTGTAGTATCAGTCTTGCTTCACTTTGAGGAGTACTGATGATCATCTGCATGAAAGCAAGTTCACTGTAGTTCATCATTTCATCCTTAGAACATAGCACAATGAATGGCACATAGTCAGTGCTCAGGTGTTAACTGAATAAGTGAAATGCCTACAAGAAGCATGGACTTGACCATGCCATTTTTTCATGCATTGATTTGGCTTTAATGACACAAGCATGCTGTTTAACCAATTATCCTCAGTGACTTACCCAACAAGTATTTATTCCAAGACCCACATTTCTGCTGGTTAACTGTGATTCAGCTGGTCTACACTGGGCTCGGCTAAGAGACTGCTTTGTGCTCCCCAATTATCTGGCTTAGCCCCAGGCTGTGGGTTGTATTGAGGTCTTCTCCAAGTGTGTTTGTTCTGGGGCCAGGCTAAAGCATCGGCTGTCAATAGGGACATGTTTTTGTATGGTGGATCATCAGAGTGCAGAAGCCAGCCAGGGTATGCAAGCAGCTGCAAAGCCTCTGCCTGCATCATGTCCACGCACATCCCATTAGTCCAAGTAAGTCACATGACCAGTCTCAAAGTCAGGGTGGCAGTAGGTGTCAGGGGACAGGTTAAGATGCTTCCCTGCAGGGGGCCTGGGGTGGAGAGTAGTATTTGCTGAACAACATTCCAGTCTGTTACAGTTTTGAATATGGAAATAATGGCTTATTCCATTTAGAACTCAAAGATGAGTGTTCAGGAGCTGGATATTTATAGGTTGGAAATGCAATCACATGCTCCGCTATATTATGCTCTTGAAAGAAGACGCTGCTACTCAGACTGTCCCACTGAACATCTGAAAAGGGGGTTTGTCACATAAAGGAAGACTATTTCCTCTTCCCTCCTTATGTTTCACAGTCATTGTGTTGTTGGAAGAAGAGATGGAAAGATACACTGGAATCTGCAGTACTTGGACCTGGGGGCCAACTTGCTGGGCTTTTCTTATTTTGTTATTTCTGGCTGACAAGCCTTCTCTTTCGGGGGTGAATTAAGTTGTGCTCACGCTCAACCCTCCCTAAATCTTAGTCCAGATGCACATTTTAGAAATACACTATACCCCCTTCCTTTATTTGTAACTGCAGTAATTTTTAGTGAAGTCAAGTTTTCCACTTTCTGTAACTGTTTCTATTAGCCTGCAGGAGAGTACCAATTTACGTGGCAGGATTTGATGAGTTGACACTGGCTCTGTTTGTTTTGCTGTCAGGAAAAGACGTTGCATTTGACTGACCCTATCTTTATCCATTTTGGTTTCGCTGTTGCTTTGAAGTCAAAGCCTGAGAATGCCTCTGGGCTGATGCCAATGTCCCCAGAAGACAGTGTAAGCCCTTGTTCCCTGCGGCTCACAGACAGTTCTAAGGCTGACCATACCGCAAGCAGGACTTGGTCCTTCACAAGGCATGCCAGTGGTCAGCAGAGAGAACAGACACAAGCTTTCTCTTCTTTTCTGAATGCAGCCATCACCTCTCCTGGTTACAAAATTAAAGCACTGAAGTGCAGAGACTCATTCCTATCACTTTAACATTGAAGGGAATCATATTTAACTTAATTCACCTGACCCTAAGAAGTGTGTGGTTTGAAAAGGGCAAGGCGCTCTAGGGGCACTTTGGAGCAGAAGTCATATCTCGTTTAATCTAATACAGTTTGATCTATGAACTAAGACGTTTTGGAGAACAACATGGTTATGGTCAAATGATCACCAGGGACAAACAGAAAGAGAAGACAGTCTTCTATACCCCATGCTCCAAAAACCTAAGAGCCTTGGGAAGCACTGTGGAAACGATCATTGTGTCACCAGAAAATAGGAAATGACAGGAGTTCGTGCCTCCTCCAGGGTGAGAGGTGATTATTTGGATAATTTCTGAGGCAATGTTGGTAGCACAAGGCAAGATTTGATAACTATTCAGAGGGCAGCAAGGAAGTTTTAGAGAAAATAATATATATTCTACGTATAGCCTACAGATATTGATGCAGAGAAGGGACATGCATGAAGGCAAGACAACAGAAGTGAAGAAAGGTAGTTAGAAAGTGGGAGGAGAAGAGTCGATTATGGTTAAATGTAGAAAGGCAAGATGAAGAACTAGGGGAGAATCCTAGAGGAAGGTGGTAAGGTTGTGAGCAGCCCTCCGAGGGGCCACAGAGAAAACATGGGATGAGGTTGGCACCAGCCATTTGCGTAGGATCAAAAGCTTGTGCAGCTCACCTGGCGATAAACCTTAACACTCGTGTTAATCAACCACTGTGTTTGTGTACATGACACTAGTGTAGTTAGTTGTACGTATGTTTTGAACTGTGTAAGATCCAAGCAGTGACACAATGGTAGGGCTAAAATGCAGAGACATGTGCTATTGGGAGATTGAAGCTTAACTTTACTGATGTTAGAGAAAGGCTATTTATTGGGTTACAACAAATGATTTTACATAAAACATAATTTTTAAGTATTAAGTTGAAAAGCCCAAATTGACCCAATTCATACTTTAACTCTGTTTTTCAAAAGCCTGAAATAGCAATTATTGTGTGTGTGTGTATGTGTGTGTGTGCTGGATATTTCCTGTTTGAAGGTGTGTAAAAGGTCTTACTACCCAGCCCCTAGTGGAGAGTTCTCTTGCAAAAAACAAAAACGGAAACAAGAAACCAAACATGCTTTGAGAGATAGAGAGTGAGAAACAGATTTTCAGAGTGGAGAATATGCCTTCTATTTATGCATTTAGCATTGTGTTTTCTCAAGCTACCCAGATTTTTTAAAATTTCTCCCCGTTTATGAGTTCAAGCTGATAATATGTAAAAGACAGTGATGCCCACTGTTTTAGGGAAGACCTTCCTTCAGAGTATGCTAACTTAGCCATTTCATTTCTTCAAATATTAGTATTTGGAAAAGAAAAAACAGTCTTAAATATGGTTCTGTCCTTCTCCCTCAGCACCCAGAGAAAAGGGAAGTCAACTACAGGATATAATTCTCTCAGAAATAAGAAAACCTTTTAGCTAATAAAAATCATGCTTAGGCTGCTGAACTCAATGGATGTACTTTTGTTATTCCTACAATGCTTAGCTTGCAGGTAGACCAAAAATTTGCCTTCATTGTCATTTTAAAAATGACTATCCAACATATTTTGCAGCATCTGCCTAATCCCAATGACTTATATTTGTTTTGTAAATTTGTTCTAGGGAAAATAAACACACACCCACACCTTTGTAATAAATAGGGAAGCACTAATCATATGAAACTAGATAGAAAAATGGGTTGGGGGCATTTGGTTTGGAGCAGCATGGAAGAATTAAACTCGACATTAAATAATTTGCAAAATATTTTCAAAAATATTTTCTCACACCCAATAAGTAGGAATAAAAATCTGCTTCATCGCCACAGTGTATTTCAGACGTTCAAGGAGAAATTGAGTAGAGGGAAATATTGACATGTTTCCTTCCGAACCACTACACCTATTTTGAAATGCCCATTGGGTACTTTTGCTCCTCTTCGGGGTATCTTTTTCCTTGTTTGTGTGTGTGTGTGTGTGTGTGTGGATAAGGGGAGGTGAAAGGTGATTAGAGACAAGAATTGAATTAATTATACATCATAAACATAACATGCCATAGCTTGCCAGTCTTTAAAATTGTATCACTTCACTTATTCTAACATACTAACCACTTTATTCTTTTATATGTGGGACCACAGTGTCCTCACACCCTCGACTGCAATGTGTGTATCCGTGCTTAACACAAATTTGGATGTGTGGGTGCATAAACGTGCATGCACATACACACGAGGTATAGAACATTTATTTATTTATTTATTTAGAGATGGAGTCGTGCTCTGTCGCCAGGCTAGAATGCAGTGGCGCGATCTCGGCTCATTGCAACCTCCGCCTCCCGGGTTCAAGCAATTCTCCTGTCTCAGCCTCCTGAGTAGCTGGGACTACAGGCGCCACCATCACACCTGGCTAATTTTTGTATTTTTAGTGGAGATGGGGTTTCACCATGTTGGCCAGGATGGTCTCAATCTCCTCACCTCGTGATCCACCCGCTTCTGCCTCCCAAAGTGCTGGGATTACAGGCGTGAGCCACCGCGCCCGGCCAGAACATTCTTTAAAATGTCCCTAGAAGCACCGCGTTCAGTGTGCAAGTTGCAAGAGTATAGCCAAGCGCTTTTCAATTTGGGTAAAGGGCGCTCCATCTGGATCATCCTTGAGGAACATCCTCGTGTTCATCCATGCTGTTTCCAGTCCTCCCCAGCATTCCGGCTCCTTTCACACCTGCATCTTTCAGACGCTCGCTCTTTCCTGCCCTCCTCCCCTGCCCTCCGTTTCTTCTGCTTAATTGTGAGATTTGCTTCCCAGCACAAATTTTTATTTCAACTCTTTCCCCTGTTGCTTATGAGTTTTATGGTGATTTCATTTTATAATTTTAAGCAGAAATCGCTTATCATATTTTCTTAGATAATTTGAGATTTTAAACTTTGGTTAGATTATAGTTACCTACAATGCTTTGAGAATATAATTTTTAAAAGTGGCACATATGCTTTATCCCAATAGTATTCTATGATTAATATGCACACATCTATGAAGTATCATGTATGATACATAAACTATTCTGCATAAGTATTGTATTTTGTATAAACTATATTAGTATGACATTTAGTTTGTGTAAAAATATGCATGCATATTTCATAGATAGCATATGTATATTACATAAGTGGGACCCTAACTGCATCTATATTTAGTGAAATGTCAGGATCGCGATGCTGCGGTGAATAGCATGAGCTTTCTTTCATGTCCATGTTAGGAGAGGCAGCTTCCTCCCATCAAAAGCACAGCTGGGGCAGAGGAGGGGGTTGAGAGCAAGGTTTTCTATCTATCTAATTGTGGTGACTTTTAAAGTTTAGTTTTATGGCTCTGTTGCCTCTGTCTTCAAAGTCAAATGGAGCAGCTGAAGCTCTCCCCACCCCAGACCCACCTGCCTGGCCTCTCCCATGCAGCAAGTTTTGCTTAGCTGTTGCAATCCTGGTTTTACTTGGTTTTGTATTTGCTATTTTTTTAAAGTGTTTTTAAACTCATGTTTCTTCATAGTAAAGGGTAACTACTGTGGAGTAAACAGAAGATGAGCGTGGTACAAATTTTGGTTAAACCAAAAACTACACACTGGATTGAAAGCTTGGGGAAGGGAGGCAGGTGGAAGGGACTGAAGGGAGGTCTCTTCCCAGGAGACTTGTTCACCGGCATCCAGTATTCTCCCCCGCAGTTAGGGAAACAGAGGGAGCATGCAGTTTCAGGCCCAGGCAGGCCTCTCTCTGGGCTTGGGGCAATGCCAAGGCTGGGGGCGAGCCTGCAGTCAGCCTTGTGCGTGGCGGCCGAGCCTGTTATTTTGAAACCCTAAGTGGAAACAGGCATGGAAACCCGGAAGGAGCAGGGAGCCTTAGCAGTCCTGGGAGATGAAGCCAACGACCTACCTCCATGTGGAAGGAGGCGGCGGAATGGGCAGGGGCGGGTCTCACAGGTTCCCCCCTCTGGAGTTGGGGTTTCCCGGCCCACGTTCGCTCTCTGGATGTGATAGGTCCTTCCCGGCCGGGAAGGGCTGGAAGGGGCGCGCAAGGAGGACGTGGGGACGAGACGAGAGAGACGCGTGCCCAGCAACTCCAGAAGGACGGAGAAGAGTGCAGGAGGGAGCCGGGGAGGACGCGGGAGGGCCGGGAGGGGAAGAGAAGCCAGGCCGGGCCTGGAGCGGAGGAGCGGAGCCCGCTGGTGCGGGTGTCCACACAGGGGCGCTGGAGCGCGCCTTCCTGCGGCTGGGCAGGAGGCAAGCCCGAGAGCGCGCGGCGAGTGGAGCCATGTCGCCCTCCCTCGCTCTCGGCGGGCACAGTGAGGCGCAGGCTTTGGAAAAGTTGCGGGCAGCCGGAGAGCCGAGCCTCCGCCTGCGTTCATGATAATGAGAATGGAGTCACGGTCACAGCCGGGCTCTCTGCGGGGCGCAGCGCCCGCGAGGGGCGCCTGGGCCTCTGGGCGTCCTCTGCCGCCCCGCGACCTTTCCTGCTCTCCTCCGGAGAGAGGCGAAGGGAAGGGGCGGTTTCGGAGGGAGCTGGGCTGTGGAGGGAGGGCGGCCTCCTCACCAGCGTCGTCCGACCACCCCGCGCCCTCCTGGTGGCTCTCCCACGCCCCATTTGCACCCCAGGTCCTCGGGGTGTCTCTGGTGTTGCTTCAAGTTAGGCAAGAAGAGCTGGGGGCGCGGGGAGCCCGGCGCCGCAGCGCGTGCGTGGCTGGGGCGCCCCGGGGCCGGCTGCACCTTCAGTCGCCCCCTGGCCGGCCTGCCTGCCTCGACCTCCGCATCCCCTTGCACCGTCCGCTCGCGTGCTGCGGGGCACGCGCAGCACTACCTTCGGCGGGGCCGCAGAACCCTCAGCTCCCGGGACTCCCCCACCGCCCCCGCACCCACGACCCGCGTGGTCCCCGCCCCTCCACCCTCTTCACGCACCCTCGCACCCTTTTTGTGCGACCCCGTGCCCTCTCCGGGCTGCCAACCCCTGCCACCCAGGCGCCAGTCCCGGGCGCGGGGAGGAGGCCGGTGGGGAAGGGGGCGGAGGGGCCGGGGTGGAGGAGGAGCTGCGCGAGGGGCCTGGGGGCGGGGAGCGAGGAGAGCGCTCGGAATGTGTGCGGGTTTCTAGGTGGTGCCAAATTCTGGGGCCTAGGCATTTCCCTCGCTTTATGTTTTTGGTTTTTTTTCTTCCTTCAATCTCTTTGATTAGGCCGTACGTGGCTGTGGCAAGGAGTTGGGGAAAAAAATTATAAAAACAGGAAAGAGAGAAAGAACAGCCAGAGCCCCGGCTTCGCGAGCCGCCGGGGAGGGGGCGGAGGAGGCTGAGCCAGGTAGAGTCGCCAGCGGAGACTCGCGAGTGGCGCGCGGGAGGAGCGGTCGCCGGCGCTGGGCTTGCCTTGCTGCTGCTGCTGCCTCCCCACCGCCTTTTTTTTAATCTGGAGCGGGGTGGGGAGTGGGAACCGGAGAGAAAGCAAAATATTAAAAAGCCCTAAAGACAGCCAGCAGGAGCGCGGTGCCCGATGGCTTCGCTGTACCAGAGGTTCACCGGCAAGATCAACACCTCGAGGTCCTTCCCCACGCCCCCGGAGGCGAGTCACCTCCTGGGCGGCCAGGGGCCCGAGGAGGACGGCGGCGCAGGAGCCAAGCCCCTCGGCCCGCGGGCGCAGGCGGCGGCGCCCCGGGAGCGCGGCGGCGGCGGCGGCGGCGGCGCGGATGGCCGGCCCCGGTTCCAGTACCAGGCGCGGAGCGATGGTGACAAGGAGGACGTAAGAGCTTCTCGGGGGCGGGGGACGGCGGCGGGGGCTCCGGGCTGAGCGCGCAGCGAGACGCGTCGGCCGGGGGCATCTGTGGGGGGGGGAATCAGGCGCCCTCCCCCAGCCCACGACTCTCCGGGCGCCCCCAGACAGGCTCCGTGGCGCCAGATCGCGGTCATCGCCGTCCCGGAGGGAGCGGGTCTGTGTCTGCAGCCGCGGCGGCCGGGAGTTGGTGGCTGGAGAGAGCGGGGTTTGGGTACTGCGCCTGCTGGGATCTGGAATTCGCCTTACGTTCCCTGGATGTGCGGATGTCTGTTTTTAACAGCATGCTGCTATGGTTCCTAAGGAGAGAATTCGATCGGCCTGTGCTTACGAGTTGGTTTATTTTTTATTTATTTCGTGCTCCGGGAACACAGCCTCAGGCACCTTCTCTCCCTCCCACCTGTGTCTGGAATCTCTCCATCGTGCCCCTCCTCTCCTACTCACTCTGTCCCTTGACTCAAATGCCTCTCCTTCGTTCCTCTTCTTACTTCTCCTAGACACTTTTTCCCCCCAGCGGTGGTGGTGGTGATTATCCTTTCCGGAAAAAAAAAAATACCAAAATACTGGCATCTGAGCCCCAACCCTCTGTCCCAGGGCCCAGCAATTTTGCTGAGAGCTCTCAGGCCGTGTCTGTCTCCCCTCCCAGCCCTGGACTAGCACCTCTGCCTTAGACCGTGTTCAGTGAAAACTTCTCCGAGAGCACATTTCCTACTCTTCATGGGGGCTGGAAGCCTGGGTTTCAAAGGTTGGATTTGCACATCGCCCTAGTAACCAATGACTCATGCAGGACAGGAGCCGGACCTTAGATGGATGCGTTTAACCACCTCCTGTGGATCCCTTTCAAGGATGCAGAGGGCTGCTAGGACTTAGAAGGGAGGAAACTGTGCTTTTTCTTTGAGGCCTTCTTTTCCCAGGGAAAAGAGAAAAATCCCCGACAGGCTCTCAGAGAAACAGGTCTGGCTTGGCTGGTACAGCTCTTATAACAGCTAGGCTGTGTTGGTTTGTAGAAATTACTATGTATGCCTTTGAGGAGTTTCACAACTGCTCAACCTGGGAACCGCAGGGGTCCCACCGGCCTCTCACTTAGTCTACCCTGACGTACCCAGGGCAGTACATTGCCCGGCACTGAGTAGGTGGTTTTGGTCATTACCTCTGCAGCCTCCAGCCATGCTGTTTCCCTGTTTCATATTTCTTTAGTGCAAGAGTTGTGTTTGGGTCGGGGGGGGGGGGGCGGTGAGACATTGAGTGATTTCCCAGGGACAATTCCTAATTGCCAGATACTATGAAATCAGTGAGGTTTTGCTGTTGTTATTGGTAGTTTTTGTTTTATGAATGAAGGATGTGGAAACTTTAATGGAGATCACAAAACTTTGTGGGAGATGTGGTTTGCACACACACAGGTACACACCCCCTACAGCCCTGCGTCAGATTTTGCACGAGGTTTTGTGATTTTCTCCTGCATCATTTCCAGACTCCCCTGGTTCAATAGTCATTCAAAGGCATGTCCCTCACTTTGGTGGGCCAAGCCCTGAGGGAAATAGACAGATCCTTCAGTCATCTGGTTCAAGTCTTTGGCAAATGGTTTAATTGGGGGAGGGTGAAGAGTTCTGGAGGATTAAACTACCGAGAATCTTGGGGAAGACAGTTAAGCTGCAATGCAAACAGGAAAAATGTACTTTTTACCTTAAATCTGACTTAAAATTGTTGAATTGTGGATGTTTGGAGTGAGAACAATGTGCAGTTTTTTTCTCAACAGGCTCTAGGTGTCGCTAGGAGAAAGGAAAGGCAAGAGCTCTGAATTTTATTTCAGATGATCTCCATCTTTTTTTAAAAAATCTTAACTTGGAGTATACATGTCCTTCTTTTTATTGTGACATGTGTCTAGAAATGATTCTCACATAAACACAGGTGTCCTGAGAAACAAATCAGGGATATAACATGTACATTTTTTAATGGGGTTCTAAACAGCATCTCTAACTTAGATGTAAGTCCTGACATGCTTTTTTTTTTTTTTCTGGAAAATACACAATGTGTGTGGGTGGGCGTGTATTGTGTGTTTATATAGTATACTCCCGATATATATATGCACACATATATACTTGCCCATTATCTGCACATATATATCCGGCACACATCTGCAAAATGCATTGCACATATGTCCTTTAAATTGTATAATTAAACTCATGACACAGGCTGAATGTTGCATCCTTTAAAAACAACAACAAACTTTTATGCACTCTTCTTAGAAAAGTTCCTCAGAATTGGAAAAGTTATGCCCCCAAATTTACTAAAAGATAGATGAACATATCAAACCACTTTTCCTCCAGGAACAAAAGCTTCAATTTGCTTAAGGTGTATTGAAAAACAAAAACAAAAAAAGACATTAGGTAGAAAAACTGCTTTTTAGGTACAGATACTTGCCAAGACTGAAGAATCTAGAGTAATCATTTTGCTACCCAAATTTAAAGCTGAGGATATGCAATGAATTAGGAACACATTGCATTTTATTACGTGTCTTGCACCTGCTGACAACCTCAAGACAAACCGAGGCTTTCCTTTTCAACATCTGCAAGCAGCTGGGAGCGCGGCTACTTCGGTGGGAGCTGTCTGAAGTGCTGAAACCTTCTCTTGGCTTAGCGCAGGAGAAATCTCCATCACTCTTGCCTTTTCAGTCCTGATCCCAAGGCTGGTGGCTTTATCACTGTTCTCTGGCTTGTCAGGGAAGACTGTTCCAAGGTACAGAAACAGCTTCGCTGCCTTGGTCACTAAGATGATGGTAAGCAGCATACCTTTATAATCCTTAGGGCTTTGTACCTGTTGTCTTTCTGTCTGCAAATTGAGAAATATAGTTCTTGGCTTCTGTGCATGTGTGTACACCTACATGCCTGAGTATGACTGAGAATGGGCAGTTACCCAGCCACACCCCAAATAAAATTTATGGTAGTCTAACAAGGCTAACACAGAGAAATAAAATGCGGAGATAGAATGGCTAGAATTAATAATGCAGGGTCTAAATGCACAAACTACACAGGCAACAAAGGGACTTCCCAACTGTGTGGCTCCACAGGAAAGCCTGTTTTGGGTGGGTCAGTACTAACATGCAAAGTCTGACTTCAAAATAGAAATAAAACCAGAGGGTCTTCTCTATCCACTTCCTTGTAAATCTTAGATTTATTTAAATATAAAGTCAATTACTTGGGCAACTCCTCTGAGGAATCAATAGCCCTTCTGATTTAAAATTCATTGTGTAGGTTTAAAAATAAGTTGACTCTTAAAGGAATTGTTGCTGGAAGTGACTTTTAGTGGAATTTATTAACTTTCATTTGGATTAACTGTGGCTAATTTTAAAATACTGAACTTTGTCATCCGCCTGCTTGAACATTTCTTTTTAGTTTTTTAAAGGGCTTTGGAGGCCTTCTGTACCATTAGAGCAGTAGTTTTTTTAAGGTTATACAGTGTGTTCCTGTATCCTTCATTTTCAGTGACATGTGGCTTCTTTGCAATACAAATGTGATGACAACAGGATTTTAAAGCAGCAAATTGGTTAAAACTGGGAGACATTAGCAAATCACCACCCATGATGTCCACCAGCCTTGGAAGGGCCAATTTCATCATCCGCTATGTCTTCGACAACCAACCAATCTTTTTTCCTCCACCTTGGTTTTCCATTGGTATAATGTCAACATTCTGTTAATGTGTCCTTGGGATCTATCAACTTTACGATTTCTTAACTAGCTTCTCTCTACAAATATGTTTATATACTCTACTCTATTACTTTTCTTCTGTTTCAACTGTAATTTAAAATTTTTTAAGTTTCACATGATTTTCCTAATAAATGAGAAAAAGTCTAAATCTTTCAACTGTCTACTTGATCCCATTACTCTCATCACCAATAGGACCAGTGCTTGGTGTACCCACCTACAGAATAGCCATGGATATTGCAGGAGCATGGAGAGTTGCAATGTTGCCCTCTCTTGATCCCACTGGCGCCTACAAAGTGGGAGCCATGAGGCCAGGTACTGAGAAGTGCCCAGTGAATACATGCTGCTGCTGTTACTAATATTACTGTTTCTAAAGGATGGCCACCCTGTTTGAGGGCCTTGGCAGCAACTGCCCAGCTAGTACAAGAAGCAAAAAAGCTGACTCTTGGGCAAAACCTGAACATAAAGGCCTCCCATTTCGTGGTGGTTGAGAGCCAGCCCCTCTTCCCCCTCTGGCTCTTGTGACCCCCATCACAGGGTGGGGAGACACCCCCCGCAAGGCGGGGACTGAGAGCCAGCCCCTCTTCCCCCACTGGCTTAGGACGCCCATCGGGGATCCTAAGATCCTTAGGAACCACCTGGAGGACTGTGGGTATGAGGTGTTCAAGAAGAAAGCTCAAATCTTCCGACGGCAGGTACCTTGCGTGGGATTTACAATAAGACATGGGTCCGAACGCAGCTCGGGAACAGAAAGAAAGCAGGTTATTTGCAATCTACCGGAGCTTAAGGGCAGAAGGCAGGTGAGAGAATTCTTAGGAGCTGTGGGGTTTTGTAGACTGTGGATCCCAAACTTTGCAGTATTAGCCAAGCCTTTGTATGAGGTCACAAAGGGGGCGGGGACCCGGAAACTTTGAAATGGGGATCCCGACAACAGCGAGTCTTTCATTAGTTAAAGGAAAAACTTCTGGCAGCCCCAGCCCTGGGGCTACCCGATCTGACAAAGCCTTTTCCATTGTATGCGTCAGAGAGAGAAAAGATGGCAGCTGGACTTTTAACCCAAACTGTGGGGCCCTGGCTGAGGCCGGTAGCCTACGTCTCTAAACAACTAGACAGGTTTCTAAAGGATGGCCCCCCTATTAGAGGGCCTTGGCAGCAACTGCCCTGCTAGTACAAGAAGCAAATAAGCTGATTCTTGGGCAAAACCTGAACATAAAGGCCCCCCATTTTGTGATGGCTGAGATCCATCCCCTCTTACCCCCTGGCTCTTGGGACTCCCATCGCAGTGGGGGGAGGCACCCCCCGCGAGGCGGGGACTCAGAGCCAACCCCTCTTCCCCCCCTGGCTCTTGGGACCACTATCGCAGGGGGCGAGGCAATCCCCGCGAGGCGGGGACTGCGAACCTCCCCCTTTCCTCCCCTGGCTCTTTGCACCCTCATCACAGGGGAGGAGGCACCCCTCGCGACGCGGGGACTGAGAGCGAGCCCCTCTTCCCCCCTTTGCTCTTAGGACCCCCATCGCTGGGGGCGGAGGCACCCCCCGCGAGGCAGGGACTGAGAGCCAGTCCCTCTTCCCCCCCTGGCTCTGGGGACCCCCATCGCAGGAGGGGGAGGCACCCACCGCAAGGGTGGGGACTGAGAGTTATCCCCTCTTCCACCCCCGGCTGTTGCTACCCTCATCGCAGGGGGGGGGAGGCACCCCCCGCGAGGCAGGGACTGAGAGCCAGCCCCTGGTTCCCCCACTGGCTCTTAGGACCCCCATCGCAGAGGGGGGAGGCACCCCCCGCGAGGCAGGGACTGAGAGCCAGACCCTCATCCCCCCCTGGCTTAGGACCCCCCATCGTTGCTCCTAAGATCCTTAGGACCCACCTGGAGGACTGTGGGTGTTAGTTGTCCAAGTAGAAAGTTCAAATCTTCCGACAGCAGGTACCTTACGTGGGATTACTGAGAGCCAGACCCTCTTCCCCCCCTGGCTCTGAGGACCCCCATCGCAGGAGGGGGAGGCAACCCTCACGAGAGTGGGGACTGAGAGCTATCCCCTCTTCCACCCCTGGCTCTTAGTACCCCCATCGCAGGGGGGGAGGCACCCCCCGCGAGGCAGGGACTGAGAGCCAGTCCCTCTTCCCCCCCCTGGCTCTTAGGACCCCCATCGCAGGAGGGGGAGGCACCCCCCGCGAGGGTGGGGACTGAGAGTTATCCCCTCTTCCACCCCCGGCTGTTGCTACCCTCATCGCAGGGGGGGGGAGGCACCCCCCGCGAGGCAGGGACTGAGAGCCAGCCCCTGGTTCCCCCACTGGCTCTTAGGACCCCCATCGCAGAGGGGGGAGGCACCCCCCGCGAGGCGGGGACTGAGAGCCAGACCCTCTTCCCCCCCTGGCTTAGGACCCCCCATCGTTGCTCCTAAGATCCTTAGGACCCACCTGGAGGACTGTGGGTTTTAGGTGTCCAAGTAGAACGTTCAAATCTTCCGACGGCAGGTACCTTACATGGGATTTACGATCAGACGGGTCCGAACGCAGCTCGGGAACAGAAAGAAAGCAGGTTATTTGCAATCTACCGGAGCTTAAGGGCAGAAGGCAGGTGAGAGAATTCTTAGGAGCTGTGGGGTTTTGTAGACTGTGGATCCCAAACTTTGCAGTATTAGCCAAGCCTTTGTATGAGGTCACAAAGGGGTCGGGGACCCGGAACTTTTGAAATGGGGATCCCAACAACAGCAAGTTTTTCATGAGTTACAAGAAAATCTTCTGGCAGCCCCAGCCCTGGGGCTACCCGATCTGACAAAGCCTTTTCCATTGTATGCGTCAGAGAGAGAAAAGATGGCAGCTGGACTTTTAACCCAAACTGTGGGGCCCTGGCTGAGGCCGGTAGCCTACGTCTCTAAACAACTAGACAGGGTTGCTAAAGGACGGCCTCCCTATTTGAGGGCTTTGGCAGCAACTGCCCTGCTAGTACAAGAAGCAAATAAGCTGACTCTTGGGCAAAACCTGAACATAAAGGCCTCCCATTTCGTGGTGGTTGAGAGCCAGCCCCTCTTCCCCCTCTGGCTCTTGTGACCCCCATCACAGGGTGGGGAGACACCCCCCGCAAGGCGGGGACTGAGAGCCAGCCCCTCTTCCCCCACTGGCTTAGGACGCCCATCGGGGATCCTAAGATCCTTAGGAACCACCTGGAGGACTGTGGGTATGAGGTGTTCAAGAAGAAAGCTCAAATCTTCCGACGGCAGGTACCTTGCGTGGGATTTACAATAAGACATGGGTCCGAACGCAGCTCGGGAACAGAAAGAAAGCAGGTTATTTGCAATCTACCGGAGCTTAAGGGCAGAAGGCAGGTGAGAGAATTCTTAGGAGCTGTGGGGTTTCGTAGACTGTGGATCCCAAACATTGCAGTATTAGCCAAGCCTTTGTATGAGGTCACAAAGGGGGCGGGGACCCGGAAACTTTGAAATGGGGATCCCGACAACAGCAAGTCTTTCATTAGTTAAAGGAAAAACTTCTGGCAGCCCCAGCCCTGGGGCTACCCGATCTGACAAAGCCTTTTCCATTGTATGCGTCAGAGAGAGAAAAGATGGCAGCTGGACTTTTAACCCAAACTGTGGGGCCCTGGCTGAGGCCGGTAGCCTACGTCTCTAAACAACTAGACAGGTTTCTAAAGGATGGCCCCCCTATTAGAGGGCCTTGGCAGCAACTGCCCTGCTAGTACAAGAAGCAAATAAGCTGATTCTTGGGTAAAACCTGAATATAAAGGCCCCCCATTTTGTGATGGCTGAGATCCATCCCCTCTTCCCCCCTGGCTCTTGGGACTCCCATCGCAGTGGGGGGAGGCACCCCCCGCGAGGCGGGGACTCAGAGCCAACCCCTCTTCCCCGCCTGGCTCTTGGGACCACTATCGCAGTGGGGGAGGCAATCCCCGCGAGGCGGGGACTGCGAACCTCCCCCTTTCCTCCCCTGGCTCTTTGCACCCTCATCGCAGGGGAGGAGGCACCCCTCACGACACGGGGACTGAGAGCGAGCCCCTCTTCCCCCCTTTGCTCTTAGGACCCCCATCGCTGGGGGCGGAGGCACCCCCCGCGAGGCAGGGACTGAGAGCCAGTCCCTCTTCCCCCCCTGGCTCTGGGGACCCCCATCGCAGGAGGGGGAGGCACCCCCCGCGAGGGTGGGGACTGAGAGCCAGACCCTCTTCCCCCCCGGCTTAGGACCCCCCATCGTTGATCCTAAGATCCTTAGGACCCACCTGGAGGACTGTGGGTGTTAGTTGTCCAAGTAGAAAGTTCAAATCTTCCGACGGCAGGTACCTTACGTGGGATTACTGAGAGCCAGTCCCTCTTCCCCCCCTGGCTCTGGGGACCCCCATCGCAGGAGGGGGAGGCACCCCCCACGAGAGTGGGGACTGAGAGCTATCCCCTCTTCCGCCCCTGGCTGTGAGTACCCCCATCGCAGGGGGGGAGGCACCCCCGCGAGGCAGGGACTGAGAGCCAGTCCCTCTTCCCCCCCGGGTTCTTAGGACCCCCATCGCAGGAGGGGGAGGCAACCCCACGAGGGTGGGGACTGAGAGCTATCCCCTCTTCCGCCCCTGGCTGTTGGTACCCCCATCGCAGGAGGGGGGAGGCACCCCCCCGAGGCAGAGATTGAGAGCCAGCCCCTGGTTCCCCCACTGGCTCTTAGGACCCCCATCGCAGAGGTGGGAGGCACCCCCCGCGAGGCGGGGACTGAGAGCCAGACCCTCTTCCCCCACCGGCTTAGGACCCCCGATCGTTGATCCTAAGATCCTTAGGACCCACCTGGAGGACTGTGGGTGTTAGTAGTCCAAGTAGAAAGTTCAAATCTTCCGACAGCAGGTACCTTACGTGGGATTACTGAGAGCCAGACCCTCTTCCCCGCCCCCCGGCTCTGAGGACCCCGATCGCAGGAGGGGGAGGCACCCACCACAAGAGTGGGGACTGAGAGCTATCCCCTCTTCCACCCCTGGCTGTTAGTACCCCCATCGCAGGGGGGAGGCACCCCCCGCGAGGCAGGGACTGAGAGCCAGCCCCTGGTTCCCCCACTGGCTCTTAGGACCCCCATCGCAGAGGGGGGAGGCACCCCCCGCGAGGCGGGGACTGAGAGCCAGACCCTCTTCCCCTCCTGGCTTAGGACCCCCCCATCGTTGCTCCTAAGATCCTTAGGACCCACCTGGAGGACTGTGGGTGTTAGGTGTCCAAGTAGAAAGTTCAAATCTTCCGACCTTACGTGGGATTTACGATCCGACGGGTCCGAACGCAGCTCGGGAACAGAAAGAAAGCAGGTTATTTGCAATCTACCGGAGCTTAAGGGCAGAAGGCAGGTGAGAGAATTCTTAGGAGCTGTGGGGTTTTGTAGGCTGTGGATCCCAAACTGCAGTATTAGCCAAGCCTTTGTATGAGGTCACAAATGGGGCGGGGACCCGGAACTTTTGAAATGGGGATCCCAACAACAGCAAGTTTTTCATGAGTTACAAGAAAATCTTCTGGCAGCCCACCCGACCTGACAAAGCCTTTTCCATTGTATGCGTCAGAGAGAGAAAAGATGGCAGCTGGACTTTTAACCCAAACTGTGGGGCCCTGGCTGAGGCCCGTAGCCTACGTCTCTAAACAACTAGACAGGGTTGCTAAAGGATGGCCCCCCTATTTGAGGGCCTTGGCAGCAACTGCCCTGCTAGTACAAGAAGCAAATAAGCTGATTCTTGGGCAAAACCTGAACATAAAGGCCCCCCATTTTGTGATGGCTGAGATCCATCCCCTCTTCCCCCCTGGCTCTTGGGACTCCCATCACAGGGGGGGAGGCACCCCCCGCGAGGTGGGGACTCAGAGCCAACCCCTCTTCCCCCCATGGCTCTTGGGACCACCATAGCAGGGGGGGAGGCAATTCCCGCGAGGCGGGGACTGCGAACCTCCCCCTTTCCTCCCCTGGCTCTTTGCACCGCCATCGCAGGGGGGGAGGCACCCCTCGCGACGCGGGGACTGAGAGCGAGCCCCTCTTCCCCCCTTTGCTCTTAGGACCCCCATCGCTGGGGGCGGAGGCACCCTCCGCGAGGCAGGGACTGAGTGCCAGTCCCTCTTCCCCCGCTGGCTCTGGGGACCCCCATCGCAGGAGGGGGAGGCACCCCCCGCGAGGGTGGGGACTGAGAGCCAGACCCTCTTCCCCCCTGGCTTAGGACCCCCCATCATTGATCCTAAGATCCTTAGGACCCACCTGGAGGACTGTGGGTGTTAGTTGTCCAAGTAGAAAGTTCAAATCTTCCGACGGCAGGTACCTTACGTGGGATTACTGAGAGCCAGTCCCTCTTCCCCCCCGGGTTCTTAGGACCCCCATCGCACGAGGGGGAGGCACCCCCCGCGAAGGTGGGGACTGAGAGCTATCCCCTCTTCCACCCCCGGCTGTTGCTACCCCCATCGCAGGGGGGGGAGGCACCCCCCGCGAGGCAGGGATTGAGAGCCATCCCCTAGTTCCTCCACTGGCTCTTAGGACCCCCATCGCAGAGGGGGGAGGCACCCCCCGCGAGGCGGGGACTGAGAGCCAGACCCTCTTCCCCCCCCGGCTTAGGACCCCGCATCGTTGATCCTAAGATCCTTAGGACCCACCTGGAGGACTGTGGGTGTTAGTTGTCCAAGTAGAAAGTTCAAATCTTCCAACGGCAGGTACCTTACGTGGGATTACTGAGAGCTATCCCCTCTTCCGCCCCTGGCTGTTACTACCCCCATCACAGGGGGGGAGGCACCCCCCACGAGGCAGGGACTGAGAGCCAGTCCCTCTTCCCCCCCTGGCTCTTAGGACCCCCATCGCACGAGGGGGAGGCACCCCCCGCGAGGGTGGGGACTGAGAGCTATCCCCTCTTCCGCCCCTGGCTGTTGGTACCCCCATCGCAGGGGGGCGGAGGCACCCCCCGCGAGGCAGGGACTGAGAGCCAGCCCCTGGTTCCCCCACTGGCTCTTAGGACCCCCATCGCAGAGGGGGGAGGCACTCCCCGCGAGGCGGGGACTGAGAGCCAGACCCTCATCCCCCCCTGGCTTAGGACCCCCCATCGTTGCTCCTAAGATCCTTAGGACCCACCTGGAGGACTGTGGGTGTTAGGTGTCCAATTAGAAAGTTCAAATCTTCCGACGGCAGATACCTTACATGGGATTTACGATCCGACGGGTCCGAACGCAGCTCCAGCTCGGGAACAGAAAGAAAGCAGGTTATTTGCAATCTACCGGAGCTTAAGGGCAGAAGGCAGGTGAGAGAATTCTTAGGAGCTGTGGGGTTTCGTAGACTGTGGATCCCAAACATTGCAGTATTAGCCAAGCCTTTGTATGAGGTCACAAAGGGGTCGGGGACCCGGAACTTTTGAAATGGGGATCCCAACAACAGCAAGTTTTTCATGAGTTACAAGAAAATCTTCTGGCAGCCCCAGCCCTGGGGCTACCCGATCTGACAAAGCCTTTTCCATTGTATGCGTCAGAGAGAGAAAAGATGGCAGCTGGACTTTTAACCCAAACTGTGGGGCCCTGGCTGAGGCCCGTAGCCTACGTCTCTAAACAACTAGACAGGGTTGCTAAAGGATGGCCCCCCTATTTGAGGGCCTTGGCAGCAACTGCCCTGCTAGTACAAGAAGCAAATAAGCTGATTCTTGGGCAAAACCTGAACATAAAGGCCCCCCATTTTGTGATGGCTGAGATCCATCCCCTCTTCCCCCCTGGCTCTTGGGACTCCCATCGCGGGGGGGGAGGCACCCCCCACGAGGCGGGGACTCAGAGCCAACCCCTCTTCCCCCCCTGGCTCTTTGCACCCCCATCGCAGGGGGGGGAGCACCCCTCGCGACGCGGGGACTGAGAGCGAGCCCCTCTTCCCACCTTTGCTCTTAGGACCCCATCGCTGGGGGCGGAGGCACCCCCCGCGAGGCAGGGACTGAGAGCCAGTCCCTCTTCCCGCCCTGGCTCTGAGGACCCCCATCGCAGGAGGGCGAGGCACCCCCCGCGAGGGTGGGGACTGAGAGCTATCCCCTCTTCCGCCCCTGGCTGTTGGTACCCCCATCGCAGGGGGGGAGAGGCAACCCCCGCAAGGCAGGGACTGAGAGCCAGTCCCTGGTTCCCCCACTGGCTCTTAGGAACCCCATCGCAGAGGGGGGACGCACCCCCCGCGAGGCGGGGACTGAGAGCCAGACCATCTTCACCCCCTGGCTTAGGACCCCCATCGCTGATCCTAAGATCCTTAGGACCCACCTGGAGGACTGCGAGTGTTAGTTGTCCAAGTAGAAAGTTCAAATCTTCCGACGGCAGGTACCTTACGTGGGATTACTGAGAGCCAGTCCCTCTTCCCCCCCGGCTCTGCGGACCCCCATCGCAGGAGGGGGAGGCACCCCCCACGAGAGTGGGGACTGAGAGCTATCCCCTCTTCCGCCCCTGGCTGTTACTACCCCCATCGCAACGGGGGAGGCACCCCCCGCGAGTCAGGGACTGAGAGCCAGTCCCTCTTCCCCCCCTGGATCTTAGGACCCCCATCGCACGAGGGGGAGGCACCGCCCGCGAGGGTGGGGACTGAGAGCTATCCCCTCTTCCGCCCCTGGCTGTTGGTACCCCCATCGCAAGGGGGGGGAGGCACTCTCCACGAGGCAGGGACTGAGAGCCAGCCCCTGGTTCCCCCACTGGCTCTTAGGACCCCCATGGCAGAGGTGGGAGGCACCCCCCGTGAGGCGGGGACTGAGAGCCAGACCCTCTTCCCCCCCTGGCTTAGGACCCCCATCGTTGATCCTAAGATCCTTAGGACCTACCTGGAGGACTGTGGGTTTTAGGTGTCCAAGTAGAAAGTTCAAATCTTCCGACGGCAGGTACCTTACGTGGGATTACTGAGAGCCAGTCCCTCTTCCCCCCCTGGCTCTGAGGACCCCCATCACAGGAGGGGGAGGCACCCCCCACGAGAGTGGGGACTGAGAGTTATCCCCTCTTCCGCCCCTGGCTGTTAGTACCCCCATCGCAGGGTGGGGGAGGCACCCCCCGCGAGGTAGGGACTGAGAGCCAGCCCCTGTTCCCCCACTGGCTCTTAGGACACCCATCGCAGAGGGGGGAGGCACCCCCCACGAGGCGGGGACTGAGAGCCAGACCCTCTTCCCCCCCTGGCTTAGGGCCCCCTTCGTTGATCCTAGGATCCTTAGGACCCACCTGGAGGACTGTGGGTATTAGGTGTCCAAGTAGAAAGTTCAAATCTTCCGACGGCAGGTACCTTACGTGGGATTTACGATCCGACGGGTCCGAAGGCAGCTCGGGAACAGAAAGAAAGCAGGTTATTTGCAATCTACCGGAGCTTAAGGGCAGAAGGCAGGTGAGAGAATTCTTAGGAGCTGTGGGATTTTGTAGACTGTGGATCCCAAACTGCAGTATTAGCCAAGCCTTTGTATGAGGTCACAAAGGGGGCGGGGACATGGAAGTTTTGAAATGGGGATCCCAACAACAGCAAGTTTTTCATGAGTTACAAGAAAATCTTCTGGCAGCCCCAGCCCTGGGGCTACCCGATCTGACAAAGCCTTTTCCATTGTATGCGTCAGAGAGAGAAAAGATGGCAGCTGGACTTTTAACCCAAACTGTGGGGCCCTGGCTGAGGCCGGTAGCCTACGTCTCTAAACAACTAGGTTTTTAGTTGCTAAAGGATGGCCCCCCTATTTGAGGGCCTTGGCAGCAACTGCCCTGCTAGTAAAAGAAGCAAATAAGCTGATTCTTGGGCAAAACCTGAACATAAAGGCCCCCTATTTTGTGATGGCTGAGATCCATCCCCTCTTCCCCCCGGTTGTTGGGACCTGCATCGCGGGGTGGGAGGCACCCCCCGCGAGGCGGGGACTCAGAGCCAACCCCTCTTCCCCCCCTGGCTCTTGGGACCACCATCGCAGGGGGGCAGGCAATCCCCCCGAGGCGGGGACTGCGAACGTCCCCCTTCCCCCCCTCGCTCTTTGCACCCCCATCGCAGGGGGGGAGGCACCCCTCGCGACGCGGGGACTGAGAGCGAGCCCCTCTTCCCCCCTTTGCTCTTAGGATCCCCATCGCTGGGGGCGGAGGCACCCCCCACGAGGCAGGGACTGAGAGCCAGTCCCTCTTCCCCCCCTGGCTCTGAGGACCCCCATCGCAGGAGGTGGAAGCACCCCCCACGAGGGTGGGGACTGAGAGCTATCCCCTCTTCCGCCCCTGGTTGTTAGTACCCCCATCGCAAGTGGGGGAGGCACCCCCCGCGAGGCAGGGACTGAGAGCCACTCCCTTTTCCCCCTCTGGCTCTTAGGACCCCCATTGCAGCGGGGGGAGGCACCTCCTGCGAGGCGGGGACTGAGAGCCAGCCCCTCTTCCACCCCTGGCTTAGGACCCCCATTGTGGATCCTCAGATCCTTAGGACCCACCTGGAGTACTGTGGATATTAGGTGTCCTAGAAGAAAGTTCAAATCTTCCGACGGCAGGTGCATGAGAGTCTGCATGAAACCCTAATAAAAAAGACAGTGAAGGAGAATCATGTCAGGAGCTGATACTCATGAGTCTCGGGAAGCCTCCAGGGACAGAGCACAGCTAGAGCATCCAAGAATGAGAAGAGCCCTAGAGCAAACGCAAAGCCCAGGAAGAGATAATTGGTTTGAGAAGAAAAGGGTCCAGGAGCTTTTGCAACCCAGCTAGCAAGCAGAGTCCTGGGCTGATCAGAGTGGGGAAAACCCACCGAGTTGTTCAATGGTAGGACAAACAGAGCCCTGCTGCAGGGAGGGGACACTCATCTACCCTGTACCCCCATACACCTCTGTCCCACTCCCCGTTCAGGCTGACAATGTGCTCACCACACAGCAGAACCTCCTGGTCTTGATTGTTGGGGCCCTCGCAATCATTGCACTGGCCCGTCCTGCCATCTGACCAGAGCTCTTCCCTGCTACGCTCTTCTGTGAGTCTCCAGCAGACCTTTTGCACATCAGCAAGCTGGGCAGCGTCAAGTGCCCGGAATCCACCCCATGCCTTCCCACCTCTGGACATTTGCTCATGGTTCATTTCATGGCCATTGAACTTGTCTTGGTCAGTTTTCTTTCAGCTCTCAGTGATAGACACATTCCACGACGACCTACAGAGAAAAAAAAAGGCACAAATTGTATAGCAAACCACTACCTCTACTAAAGTAACCTATTGTTCTTTAGAACTGAAGACCAGAGGCTGTGGGACTTCACTCTTATCTGGGATGTGGTGCTGACATGATATTCCCAAAACTCTTTCTGTCTGTCTCCCTAACTCTCAGATTTACTTTCCTCTGTGGGTGTTAATCTCAAGCAGATAGCAAAGGTAGTTTCTGCTCTAAGCTCATGAAGTTTTACACTTCCTAACGAGAGAGGAAGACAGAGGCATGCTCTCTCCCAGGGTCTACATGTGAAATCTCATTCAGGGTTTCTGGTTGATCCAGCACTGGTCACATGGCCCAGCCACTTGGAGTCAGTTGTGTTGTCAGGGCCTGCACCGCAAGCACGTTGCACAGACAGGAACAGGACTGGCCAGGGAGGGAATCTCCATTAGGACAAAGTGGTTCTGCAGACCTTGCAGCGTCTCATCCTCAAATGCCTTTTCCTTACAAGAGCTTCCTCTCAAAATGCACCCCTCCTTTCAGGTCCCATTCTAATGCTGTCACCTCCAAAGCAGCAACCTCATCTACCTGTCTCAACTCCCTAAATGGGTGACTGTTCCTGCATCTGAATTTCCATAGCATTATCATGACACACCATCCTCACCATCGTCACTATCTTACCTGTAATCATAGCTGCTTGTGATGAGCAGCAGCTGCAAGGACAGACATCACTGCCACTTAAACCAGCTCCAACAAGGCAGAGATGAAATAGACCGGAAGAAGGGGCAAGGCTGTGAGGGCCCTGGGAGCAAGCAGGGACACCTCCCATCACTCTTAGAGGGCCCTGGGAGCAAGCAGGGACACCTCCCATCACTGGCTGCCATACAGGGTGAAAACAATACAGCCTGAGTGCCCACATTCCATTCCAACATTCCCCCCAGTAAGAACAAAACAGGAAGGGCCCAAGGAAAACACAACCAGCAGTGAAGTGGAGCTCTGTCCTCTTTGCTGTCCTCACTGGCCGGGTGCACAGGCCAGGCCCTACTGAATACCACTACGTAAGCAGTTACACCATGGTCCTAGTACCCCCACCCCCGAGAGCAGAAATTGTAAGCAAATTGTCCATCAAGGTATAATGGCAAAAGGCACAAATTAGGACCAGGCCAATGGTATAAATACACCTGCCTGTCACTCAGCCCCTAGAGCTCCTTGGAGAAGCCTGAGTCCTGTGTTCCACCGACATCAGTGGCATAGAGGCCCTGAGTTGGACTCAGGTTTTACTCAGGGACTGGGTTTTCCTCAGGGAATGGGGCAAGTTCCTGGGGGCCAAGGATGTCTTCTGACTGGCCTGCATGAGGGCTTCAGGAGGTGAGTTGTTTTATCCTCCTAAGAAGCCGCCTTGGTATCCCACTGGCCTTAAGCAGGCCCAGAATACCCGTAATTTTTCCTGTTGGAGACCCTCACATTCTTCTAAGCCTCACCTTCACACTTCTGTGACTACTGAAATATCAGCCACGGCTAGGTTCAGATTTGTTTTTTTTTTTTTACTTTTTTTTTTTAAATTTGGGACAGAGTCTCTCTCTGTTACCCAGGCTGGAGTGCAGTGATACAATCTCAGCTCACTGTAACCTCTGCCTCTCGGGTTCAAGTGATTCTCCTGCCTCAGCCTCCTGAGTAGCTGGGATTACAGGCACACACTAGCATGCCTGGCTAATTTTTGTATTCTTAGTAGAGATGGGGTTTCACTATGTTGGCCAGGCTGGTGTTGAACTCCTGGCCTCAGGTGATCTGCCTGCCTTGGCCTCCCAAAGTGTTGGGATTACAGGTGTGAGTCACTGTGCCCAGCCTCAGATTTTTTTACAATGATGCCACATTGCAATTAAATGGACTTGTCCCTACTGAACAGAGCCCTCTGCTGTTGTGCCCTGGAGCCAGGTTAACACGCATGTGCTCTATGCCACGAAGAACACCCACCAAGCTGAGGGGCATGCAGCGGTCAGCCCTGCAGGCATTCACATGGGAAACTGCCATTGCGAATGGAGTGAGTGAGGCAGCTTAAGTGGTGGGAGGGGTGTGTGGGAAGGGGCTCCTGAGCAGGACCTTCAAGGGTGCTAGAGTTTGGCAGAGACAAGAGTAGGAGCGAAGAAAGTGAGAGTCTCATGTAGAAGGGCAAGGTCACCTTCCTGAACAGGGAAGATAAATCATAGTGGATATTGTACAATAAAGATTTTATTCATTCATCTATAACAAACTTTTACTCGATACCAACCATGGCCTGATGCAAGGCTGACACCATGGGATACAGAAATGCTTTTGAGTGTCAGTCTGGGGAGAGACAGGCATGTGAGCAAATAAATGAGCTGTGTCTGTCCCATGAAGAGTCTAGAATAGTGCAGTTGGTTAGCACTCTCTGGTGACAGAAAGGCTGTCTATCTATACCATCCAATCCAATAGCCACTTGCCCCATATGGCTGTTGAGTGCTTGGAATGAGGCCTGTGAGATTGAGGAACTCAATTTTAAATTTTATTTAACCTTCATCTATTTTAAATTTAAATAGCCAGCCACATGGGGCTAGTGGCTACCATATTGGGCAGCACAGGGCTGGAGGCACATGGTAAGAAATTTATATCCAATAACTAATAGGAAGACACATTGATTAGTTTTTTTAAACCTATATATTAATCGTTTCACAAGTACTAGGGCTTCAATACATGGTACTGCATAAATAAAGCAGTCCTTGCCTTCAAGTCAAACACATCACCTTATCTTATTGTTATCTGAGAAAATGCAAAGGAGCCCATGGGAGCGAGAGGAGGGACACTTCATTCAGCTTCAAGGGTGTCAGGGAGAGTTTTCTGGGAGATTCGATGATTAGGATGATTCTTGAAGAGTTAATGGGAGATAACCTTGAGAAGGAGGAGAAAGCTATCTCAGGTGGAGGCAACAACCCCATGGTTATCAGAGAAGCAGCAGCATCAGGGAGAGCTCAGAGTATTCAGGGAGGTATGTGGGCCTGGAGACTCGTGCATGTGGGGCAAAGCCATTCAGAATGACCCTCGGAGATGGGCAGGGCACCATGGGGCTTAGGCCTCAGATGACTTTTTTTAAGGTCATGGGGAGTCATTTGAAAATTGGAAGCAGACACATGAGATTTCTGTTTTTCTGCTTCCATTTCGGTATTTTCCAAAAAGCAGTAATGTTGCTGGAAAGAAGGAGAGCAGTGTAAGAGTTTTTGTTTGTTTGTTTTATTGGTTGCAGTGAGGTCTGGCTCTGCCACCCAGGCTGCAGTGTAGTGGTATGATCATAGCTCACTGCAACCTCGAACTCCTGGGCTCAAGCGATCTTCCTGCCTCAGCCTGTCAAGTGCATGCCACCACACCCACTCATGGTTTTTTTTTGTTTGTTTTTTTTTTTTTTGTTTTTGATAAAGATTGAGTCTTCCTATGTTGCCCAGCCTGGTCTCAAACTCCTGGGCTCAAGCAGTCCTCCCACCTCGGTCTCCCAAAGTACTGGGATTACAGGCATGAGCCACCGTGCCTGGCAAGAGACTCGTTTGAAGTTGAATGAAACGAACAGAATTTGGCGATGGCTTAGTTGGGGAAGGAGAGGTTAGCAGGGAAGGGGCAGCTGCAGGATGCCCTTAGGGGTGTCAACATTTGTGCTGAACACAGGCCACTGTGGGAGGAGGCATCGGCTTGACACAGCAATCCTGTGGTGGAGGTGTTTGTATTTTGAGGTTATTATTCTATTGTTGATTCTTGGAGTAATAAGAATTGAGAGATTACCCAGAAGCAATGGGCAGTGTAATAAGAGGAGAGGGCTGGAGAACAAGCTGGGTGACTCCCATGTTTACAGGCTTCTGGCCTCAGGGAAGGCCTGGAAAAAAGGATGGGAAGAAGATGCTGTTAGAATCCAGGAGAAAGCTACCTCTAAGAAAGCAGAAAAGGCAGGCTCATAGCAGACAAGTAACCTGAATTGGGAAAGGGCCCAGTGGCCCCGGCATTGGAGGGCAGCTGGTGTCTGCAGGGAGGGTGGCTTTGGCAGGAGCACAGGTGTGGTTGAGGCTGAGGTGACCAAAGTCGGATTAACACGAACCCGAGGCACGTAGCACAGGGGGATGAGTGTGGGGGTTTCTTCCGGGCTGCTGCACAGGCCCTCCTCTTCCCAGACAGCAGCTGCTGAGTGTCAGGTGGGGGGATAAAGGCCAGAAGCAGAGATGCCGCTAAGCCCACAAACAGGTGCCCACGGGATCAGCCTCGGCGCCGGGCGGGTCTTAGGTCTGAAGGACACTTGGAGACTAGATGTTGACTGTTGGAAATTTAGTAAACTGGGCCACCAGAGGCTTAATTCACTGCTTTAAAGTCTGATGATTGGAAATTAACCTATGAGAATTGTCAAATTACATTGAGGTTTGATCTCCCGTGCACTTACACAAATGCACACAGACACAGACACAGACACAGGCATGCACACACCTCTTTTATGAGACAGATAAAAACCCAGCCACAAAGATGTCAATGCCACACATCTAAGAGCCTGTCCCATAAGTAATGCACAGGGCTCCAGCCCCCGTGGGAGGAAGATAATTGGACTGTAAAATAGTGAAGGGCACGGCTGGGTCAAGAGAGAGTCCCCTAAAACCAAATTCCAGATGATTTCCATATTCTGAATGGAAAGCCTGCATAATCATTATTTTTAAAACATATCGACTTAGAAATAAAATATAAAAGTCAAAAAATCAATTAAGAGGACTAATTCAATGAAGAGTGTTTTCTGGTGGCTATTTTTCTTTTTATTAAAGTTTTTAATTTTTTTATTTTTTGGGCACCTAGTATATATTTATGGGGTACATAAGATGTTTTGATACAAGCATGCTCTAGTGACTACTTTTCAAGAGTTAAACTGTGGACTCCAGAGTCTGAAAATAAAGTATAATTTTCGAGAATGTTCAAATTATAGTTTTAAAAGTCTTTGGCCCATTATTTATATTTTTTATTCTTATTTGGAATTAAGCACAGTATTTTGTTTTTTCAAAAATTTAAACCTGACTGAGAGCTAGGTTGCCATGGACCATTGGTTATTTATCTTCTTTTGATGATACTTCATTTAATAACAAATCAGTGTTCCTGTGTCTGATAGAGTTAGATGAATTAATCAAGTCAGTGTTTATTCCTCCTTCAAGTGGCATCTTCTTAAAGGTAGCTTTGCAAAATGCCCAATTATTTGGACAACTTAAAAAAAGAACTATGGGGCCGTGCGCAGTGGCTCACGTCCCTAATCCCAGCACTTTGGGAGGCCGAGGCGGGCGGATCACGAGGTTAGGAGATTTCAGGCCATCTTGGCTAACACAGTGAAACCCCGTCTCTACTAAAAATGCGAAAAATTAGCCGGGTGTGATGGTGGGCGCCTGTAGTCCCAGCTACTCGGGAGGCTGAGGCAGGAGAATGGCGTGAACCCGGGAGGCGGAGTTTGCAGTGAGCCGAGATTGTGCCACTGCACTCCAGTCTGGGCAATAGAGCGAGACTCCGTCTCAAAACAAAACAAAACAGTTTCTCATATGCAATGATCCCCACACCGAGGTATCAGGTAATTGTGGACTGTGCCGTTCACTGTGTACTATCAGGAATTTAGGTAAGGCAGCAAAAGAGAAGAAAGTTTCCCTAGAGCCCCATACCGAGGTATCAGGTAATTGTGGACTGTGTCGTTCACTGTGTACAGAGATTGGCAGGGTGTGAGTGGCAGAAAGAGCTTCTTAGGCAGTCAGACCACCTGGCTCTGAATCCTGGCTCGGTCACAAATTAATTATATGGAAGAAAACCTTAAGCCTCGGTTTGATTTTCTCCTTTAAAAAGTGAGACAAATAAATGCATTTATTTCTCAGAAGATAGTTGTGATACATCTATTATTTTATGACATTTTTGTTCATTTTTAAAAGGTCCTGACAAATTTTAAGTGTTTTATGTGATCAGTTAGATGACATGCTAATTGGCAAAAGGCTTGCCTCTAATATACATGCTGTCAAATTTTCCATCAACTTCTATATTTGCTTCTCTAAGATTTTTTTTCCTGAATGACATAATTAATTAATGAGGTCATGCAAAATTCTTAAGGAAAATAGCTAAGTCAGTTTCCTTCATTAAAATCCACTATAAACAAAGACAGCCCTCTGTTTAATGCTTAGTTTAACAGAAAATTTAAATTAGCACAGATAATTCTTCACATCATTTGGTTAATTGAAGGTATGGGAAACTGTATTTGTAGTGTTCACTCAAACCATTCCCAATAAGTGAATTACCCATGGGCCAAACTCTGGAAATTGCCAGATGAACTGTATTATATAAAGATAGTATGGCATTAATAGCTGTTCTTTCATATTGCCTTTAATCCATCCTCTTTGAAATAATAGAGGCCTGAGATACATCAGTGCTATTGAGCAGGAACGCTTGAATATAAAACCAATCAAGACAACATATAGTATAAAATAGTGGCTTATCATGTATGTGCATGCATGCTATTTTATTTGTTTTTTGCTGATAAAGGTGGAATGATGTTATGATGAATTTCACCATGAAAGACTGAAATAGAGCAAACAAAATGTCTCAATCAGGGTTTGCCAGGGTTATTCCTAATGAGTTATTCATACTGGTTGTATTTTTTTGACCATTGGGATTTATTTATCTGAGGGCTGCTGGAAAAAGGAGAAAGGGAAGCTACGTCATTTGCCTTCTGTGTGCCAGGCATTTTCCCTTTCTTTATCCCCGGAATAACCTTGTGTGGGAGGTTTCATTATTCTCATTTTACAAATATGGAAACTAGCTTAGATGAAGAGAGATGGAGTGACCCTCCGAAGGCCTCGCAGTCAGCGAGAGTTCGAAGCAGGGTGAGAATTTACGTGTTTCTGATTTCTAAAGCTGTATTCCTTCCACTGCCCTGGTTCACATGTTAGAATGTCACATCTTTATCCTTCAGACATAGTAGCTCAGTCTGCATCAGACTAAGATGGGGAAAAACTTGATTCCTGGAAATTTCCAAACATACGGAAAAGTGGAGGGAATTAGGCAATAAGCCGGTTGTACCCATGACCCAGCTGTATAATTATCAAGGCTTCGGCAATCTCGTTTCATCCATTTCACTACCACTATGATTTGAAACAAATGCCAGATATCATTTTCCTCCGCTAAAAACATTTTATTACGTTGGATCCTGTTTGTGCCCATATTTTATACTAAGCCTTCACATAAGTTATGTTCTAGGATGTCTTCAAATGAGAGTAAAAGAGGACACCGTTGTCTTACTGCTGGGGAAAAGAGAGGGGGCTTTCGTCTTTCTTCAACTTCCCTGTGTGATACAAGGGAAAAATGCAGCTAGTTAAATTAGTCTAAAATCTCGATCCCTTGAAAACAGAAAAATCAACAGTTTTAAGCAAACAAATACAATCCCCCTAGTAGCTAATAATTTTCATCCACGTGCCTGGTACACATGCTAATGTTGGAGGGAAAAAAACAGGGTGATGTGCTTTTTGAGTGTGGACACCAGAGGGTAGAGTGTACTGATTAGAGTTTCCTGGCATTGCAAAAGTGCAATGAGGCTTGGGGAGGAAAAGCAGTAGGCTATGAAACATTATTCCTTATGTCAATAGAAGGAAATTATTACATAAGGGAAAACTGGCAAGATGGAAGAGCTTATATCCACTTGCAGTTCTGTTCATTCCCCCTAAACTCCATATATTATTTCAGGATTTTCATGAGAAAGGCTCTTCTTTGAAGAATCAATTGCTTATCCATGGTGTTAGTTTATATGTTTGTATCATGACAAACATCCTTTCCAGAGGTGTGGCCCTCCAGACCTTGCTAACAGCATGCTGCTGCTTTGCAAAGCCGCCTGCGCTTTGCTGCTCACCTAAAGGAGGACTTCTCAATAATAGACAGGATTTGATTCCTTTTTGTCATGAGAAAGCTCCCTGATTGTGCATTTGTAATGCATGAATTGCACAGATCTCCCTGCTGAGAGGCTTACATCACAGAGTTGGCTCACTGTTTCCAGTATCATTCTTCCAGCCCAACAGTAAGCACTGGAAGAGAGCAGGTAGCTGCCTACCCTGATATTACAGGACATCAATAGGCTCTTGCACGCAAGTGTGGTGTTTTTCATTGCACACCAAGGGTTATTAGGCTGTGCTGAGTCGGATGGAAATAAAAATAGCCTGGAACCTGTGCCCGTTTGTTTGGGGGACTTGTCCCAGCACCATGCTAATGAGCCCAAGGGCTTGGGCTTGATGTCCCTGGTGGTTCCATCAGAGCAACATGAAGGAAAGCAACTGTCGGAAGCCACAGGCCCTCACTTAATGTGGTTTGCAGAGTGGTAAGTGATGGCTCTTCCCACGTGTATGGTTGTCTGGCACAGAGAGAGCCGGGGGACCCACACGCTCACGCAGTCCCTGCCAGCAACTGTGAGACATGACGACTGTGACTTTGCAGAATCCAGGGTTCATCCACCCTCCCGTGGGTCCTCCTGCTCCCCGTTTTGCTGCCATCTCGGGCCCATATCTGCAGGTTCAGGGACCCTGGAGTAGCTGCACCTCAGCCTCATGTCCTCTGTGGTCCCTTAATTGCCCAAAAGAAAGAATTTAAATGTAAAGTCGCTCTGTGCAGCGAGCACGTTCCTTCGTGCCCTGGGCGGCCTCTCTGACAGCCCTGACTCTGGTCTGTGACGCTGGGATCGTGACTGCTTTCAGGCACCGTCATGGCCTTCCATGGTCCTCTGTCTGCCTTTGTCTCCTTCCTTCTGTTTAGGATGCCCTTTAGTGGGGGAACTCCTGGTCTGCCTTCTCCTCTAAATCTGTGCTCTCTACCAAGGATTTTCCAAGCCTGCGCTTCCTCCTGTCATCTCCTTTGCTCCTCTCCATGGCTCCGGCTCCTGTTCCGCAGCCCCTGGACCTATATCTGTGATCACACTTAGTGTTTTATACATCAGTTATTCACTTAAGTGTCGGCCGTGCCCACCAGCCCAGAAGACTCAAGGATGAGTACTTTTCCATACTTACCTTTACACAAGATAGGGTCTCAGTACTCATCGCGATTAATACATGAATGAACTTCAGCAAAATAATTGCAATGTGTAAAGGCCAAGATCCAGAATAAAACCTTTCATTTCTTAGCTAAAAATCTCCCCACATCCATTAGTTTTACATCCTTGGCATTAAAGATCCTAAGGAGAAATTGGTATTCCTGTCTGGAAAAACTTGCTGTTGCTTAATTTATTTAAAAGTAAGTTATTTTTAAATAAATATGAAACCCCATCTCTACTAAAAATACAAAAAATTAGCTGGGTCTGGTGATGGGTGCCTGTAATCCCAGCTACTCGGGAGGCTGAGGCAGGAGAATTGCTTGAACCTGGGAGGAGGAGGTTGCAGTGAGCTGAGATTGTGCCACTGCACTCCAGCCTGGGCAACAAGAGTGAAACTCTGTCTCTAAAATATATATGTATGTATGTATGTATGTATGTATCTATCTATCTATCTATCTATCTATGTATCTCCATATATACATATAGAGATATATAGAGATCTATATAGAGATAGAGAGATATATAGAGATCTATATAGAGATATAGAGATATATATAGATATCTATATAGAGAGATATCTATATATCTATATAGATATCTATATAGATATCTATATATATGTATATAGATATGTAGATATATAGAGAGAGAAAGAGACCTGGAGAACATATATACTCAACAGGTGCATGTCATAACCTTCGGGGAAATAGGGTGGGAAGGATGAAGATGATATTTTATGTGATCTGTACTGTGTGAGTTGTGAGTTTCTGCATATATTAATTAGTAAAATAGGTAGGAGCAAATATTATGAAAGCATTAAAACACCAAGACTAACAAGACAATCATGAAGAGGAACATTTCTGTCTAACTAGATGGCACTTATTATAAAGTCTTAGTAATTCTGATGACTATACCCCACATGGATGTGGAGACAGAATAAGTAGATCAATGGACCAAACAGAAACAATTGGTCATACTTACACAGTTCTTGTTACCAGCTGGGCTGTTTTAAACAACTTTCCAATATAAATTCATTTAATCTTTGCAGCTATCCATGAAGTAACATTTATAGGTCTCCATTTAATGCTTTAAGAAAATAGAAAAAGAAAGGTTAAATTGCTGAAAGAGTCACATAAGAGGAATTGGCATAAGAGACACACCGGCTACTCCCTGGGCCTGAAGCTTTATAGCCACAGCAGGGAGGGGAGTGTCAAGAACCAGGGCAGGGAGGATAAAGACCCCGCTGAGAGTTCCAGCTCAGTTTATGATTGGTATATGCCTTTCATAAGCAAGTCACTATTTTCTTGAAAAGAAATGGAAATCAAGAGATGCATGTGTTGTCAAAGCGGGAGAAAATATTTGCAAACTATGTATCTGACACAGTACTACTATCCAGAATGTACAAGGAACTCAAACAAATCAGCAAGAAAAAAACAAATAATCCCATCAAAAAGTGGGCTAAGGACATGAATAGAAAATTTTAAAAAGAAGGTATACAAATGGCCAACAAACATATGAAAAAATGCTCAACATCACTAATGATCAGGGAAATGCAAATTAAAACCACAATGCAATACCACCTTACTCCTGCACAAATGGCCATAATTAAAAAATCAAAAAATAATAGATGTTGGCATGGATATGGTGAAAAGGGAGCACTTCTACACTGCTTGTAGGAATGTAAACTAGTATAACCACTATGGAAAACAGTGTGGAGATTCCTTAAAGAACTAAAAGTAGATCTACCATTTGATCCAGCCACCCCACTACTGTGTATCTACCCAGCAGAAGATAAGTCATTATATGAAAAAGACACTTGCACGCACGCCTATAGCAGTACAACTCACAATTGCAAAAATATGGAACCAGCCTAAATGTTCATCAACCAAGGAGTAGAGAAAGAAAATGTGGTATATATACACCATGGAATACTACTCAGCCATAAGAAATGAATGAAACAATGGCATTCACAGCAACCTGGACAGAGTTGGAGACCATTATTCTAAGTGAAGTAACTCAAGAATGGAAAACCAAGTATCGTATGTTCTCGCTTTTAAGTGGGAGCTCAGCTATGAGGGTGCAAAGGCATAAGAATGATATAATGGACTTTGGGGACTCGGGGGGAAGGCTGGGAGGGGGATGAAGGATAAAAGATTACACATGGGGTACAGTGTATACTGCACAGGTGATGGGTGAACCGACACCTCAGAAATCACCACTAAAGAACTTACCCATGTAACCCCAAACCACCTGTTCCTCAAAAACTATTGAAATAAACATAAAATAAATTTTTAAAAAAGAGATACATGTGTTGAAATAGACAATAACTCTCAACTGTACCAGAACCTACACCTCCTTATTTTGGCAAATTATTTTAATGCTCCTTTCCTAATTTAAATTAAATTCATAGGTGATAAAACGTATATGCATATACCACTTTAAAAGTTTCAATATATAGGCTAAATAAAGGAATGAACTTATAATCCAGTTATCTGTCCTTCAGCATGTCACTGCTCAGGTCCTGCTTGCCAGGTGGTCTGCAGCTAGGGCACTGACATCTGTGATGAAGTCAGAAGCTTCTTCCTATGTGTAAAGAGTAAAACTGGGTTTAAAATATTTTTTTTAAAAAAAAAAGGCTGGGTGCAGTGCCTCACACCTATAATCCCAGCGCTTTGGGAGGCCAAGGCAGGTGGATCGCCTGAGGTCAGGAGTTCAAGACCAGCCTCGCCAAAACGGTGAAACCCTGTCCCTACTAAAAATACAAAAATTAGCCATGCACGGTGGCGGGTGCCTGTAATCTCAGCTACTCGGGAGGCTGAGGCAGGAGAATCTCTTGAACCTGGGAGGCGGAGGTTGCAGTGAGCCGAGATCGTGGCAATGCACTCCAGCCTGGGTGACGAGGGCAAAACTCCATCACAAAAATAAATAATAAATTTTTAAAAAGCAGACCAGAAATAGTTCCATATAAAAAATATAGGAAAAGGGAAGAGCAGATAATACAGAAGAACCTTAGAATAAAGCCTGAGATTAAGTAATAATAGATTAGTTTTATTTTGAAAATGAAAAGAAAATGGGGACACACTCCATTTGAAATACAGGATGCGTACCAAGGTGGATCACAGATTGAGAGGAGAAAATGTGTGAGATTCTCCACTGATAGCCAGGTGTGGCTTCTTCTTTTTAAGCATGGCGTGAAACAAATTATGACATGGATGGGGGGAATGAAGTGTCCCTGGGATCCTACCACCTGACAAGGTGTACCCTCAGTCTCCAGTGCTTAATAAATGCCTTGTAAACTGTAACCTCTGATACTTAATGAGGAATACAGCTCTTTGAAACAGAAACCGAAATAGGTCTCTAGAGAAGTTGTATGATAAGATCCTGGGGGCAGTGTCAGAAAAGGACCGAAAAAACACAGATTCCTCCCTCCAGGAAATAATTTCAATACTTAAAGTTTACCATGTAGATTTCTTGTTCTGGTGCTATAATTGTGAAGCATATAGGAAACACTATAAAATGTTTTAAAACAATGCTTTTGATAAACTTTATTAAGACCTCTATGTTTCATGTGTTTGCACTAAAAATAATGTTTGCTTCTAAGAATGTTCCTATTTGACTAAGGTGATTTAAAATGCCTTTGCATTGTTGCACTGTTTGTGTAGTGATTGTAACTCTGTACTAAAGCCAATTAACTTTGTAGTTGGATGGGTTATAAAATACTCACTAGACACAATACTCCATAGACACCATATTCAATAATAGACACAATGTGTAGAATTAAGAAGCCAGCGTCCACCTCTGCAACGAGCTTGTCCTGAATCCCTGGACCCTTTATTTTTCATCCCATAAAAACTTTCAGTATCATTATGTACTGAAGTACTCCTTATTTATAGTTCTGTGGATTTATTCCAATGAGTCTGTTGAAAACTGGGATGTGGGGCACCTACACTTCTCACCGTGCAGGATCTCTACCCATTGCAGGGTGTCCAGCCCCCTGGCCTCTACCCCAAATGCCAGTGAAGTCTAGGATTCATTGTGACAACTGAAAAACTCCTCATTTCAAAAATGCTTCCTAGGAGGTAGAATGGCCCTGTTGAGAACCTTAAATAGATTATAGATTTTATTATTATTATTATTATTATTATTATTATTATTTTTATTTTTGAGACAGAGTCTTGCTCTGTCACCAGGCTGGAGTGCAGTGGTGTGATCTCAGCTCACTGCAACCTCTGCCTCCCGGGTTCAAGCAATTCTCCTGCCTCAGCCTCTCGAGTAGCTGAGACTACAGGCACGCATCACCATGCCCAGCTAATTTTTGTATTTTTAGTAGAGATGGGGTTTCACCTTGTTGGCCAGGATGGTCTCGATCTCTTGACCTCATGATCTGCCCTCCTTGGCCTCCCAAAGTGTCGGGATTACAGGCATGAGCTACTGCTCCCGGCCAATAGATTATAGATATAATTCTTCTGTTATTAATTCTTTCACAAAACCCTGGCTGTACAAGTATCCTCTGTAAACTTAGATATTTCCGACAGTGTCTACTTCCTTCCTTCATGATCTCAACTCTCTGTAAATTACATGTGAATGCATTCAGGACTGTATTTTATATATCATCTCTTTCATGTTTTGATTTGCTTTTTCCAAGCAGACATTAAGTGTGCTGAAAGTAGTTGTGTTGTCATCTGCTTTCATTGAATCCTTCAGAAATTTTAGCACCACAATGAGATTCTGAAAAAAGCACAGAAAAGGGGCTTAATATAGAATGTTTAAAGAATATTTGTTTTCTCAATTTATATTACGACTTTCAAACTTCAGTGCATATGTACACACACACACACACACCATTTTAAGGCATTGCTAAACTCAAATATATCTTTCACCTTGAAGATGAAGCAAGATTCCAAAATGTCAGAAAATCTTGAAAGTCTCTTAGATACGAACAATATGGGGAGAGAGCCAGCAACTGAGTTATTCCCAAGCTCATTTAGTGACAAAGTTGTGGGTTGGTTAGGCTTGTTAGAGCTCAACAAAGCACTTAGTGAAGGAAATATGAAAATTAGAAACCACTGTAGGATATAAATTAAGAATATTTGGAGGCTAGAAAGATTTGGGGATTTTTTTTGTTGTTAAAATATCTAGCCAACTCCTGAAAAATAATGAGTGGTTGCCATAGCAACTGTGTTTTCGCTTGACACACGAAAGAACATGAAAAGCTTTGGAATCAAGGAAACCCACCTGGTTTTAGACTTTAATTTTGGAGAAACAAATTCATCCAAAATGATTTATAAAACAAACCCTATTTTATTTTCCTTCCAAAATGATTGTAGATTTTTTAAATTTTTTTAAATTCAAAACATTGAGGGTATCTCAAAGGAAGTGAAAATACATTCTTTTCCAAAAAAAAAAAATGCCTGGGCCAGTTGTGGCTCACGCCTGTAATCCTAGCACTTTGGGAGGCCGAGGTGGGTGTATCACACGGTCAGGAGATGGAGACCATCCTGGCCAACATGGTGAAACCCTGTCTCTACTAAAAATACAAAAATTAGCCAGGCTTTGTGGTGCATGCCCACAGTGAGCTGAGATCGCAGCACTGTACTCCATCCTGGGGGACAGAGCTAGACTCCATCTCAAAAACGAAAGTGCCTGGTCGTCTTTCCACACGACTCCGTTTCCACTCCCATAAAATGCTACGTTAGCTGTTTTGAGGGTAGATGCCCTTAGACTGCCAACTCACAAAGTTTTATTGGGCACCTGTTACCTGTTCAGCAGAGATTTGTAAAAAAAGACACATCAGGTGGCCTTTGCTTGCAAGAAATCAGCCTTTGGAACCTGTGGAGAAAAGTTAAATACTGCGTACTGTGCAAATGAAGGGTGGGAGCTATTGAAGGGAAGAGATTCACCCTGAAAACCCAAGAATGGTCAAACGAGAGGCAAGGTGGAGCCTGCGGTTTTCACTGGAAGGATTCTAGAGTGAGTGATTCTGGGGACGTAGAGATGGGGGATAACGGGTGAAAGGAACAAGCATGGCCCCTTTGAGGTGGAAAACAGACTGGTGGGCCAGGGTTGGGAGGGTGTGCTGGGGAAGTGTTGTGGGCAGAGGCTGGAAAATGAAATTGGGCTGGGGTTAGGAGACAGGTGACCGTGGAAGACTGCTCTGACAATCAGAGTCTGGACTTCCTTGCTCCTCTGCAGGATCCCTGATGCCCAGATGGACCCTTCGATGTTCCTGGCCCACCTGCGCTACCTATTCTTGCCCCGCTCTGCTCTAGTCTTTACAACTGCACAATGGCACAGTTGGTCTCTGGGACTTAGAATTTGTGTTGCAAACATAAGACCTGGAGAATGGACCTGGTCTGTGATATAGTGTGTCAGTCAGGGACCTGGAGAAACAGAAGGGGCTCCCAAATAAGAAGACTTCAAGGAAGTTTAAGAAAGGCACCAAATACAATTTGAAACTTGCGGGCTGGGAAGCCACACGAGATAGCGCAGGCTGGGGGATGTGCAGGAGCTGTCATCAGAAGCCAGAAGTGGAACATGTTATGAAAAAGGTCACTTTGCATGGAGAAGGAGTACAAGGGAAGTCAAGAGGACCCACAGTGGGAAGTGGGCTGTGAATACTCTGACCCTACCTCATTTACTGCCAGCGCATCCCTTGGCCTAAGTGAAGTAGGAGCTTGGCAGAAGATTGGCTGTTGACTCTAATCCTGCTCCCAGGTTCCTACTTAATCAGCATCCAAGATCTAGGTGTGGAGTTGACAGTGACATCTCAGACTTCAATCCACCATGTTGACTTCTGATTAACCCCAGTCCTGGGAATACCTCCAAGAATTCTACTTTATTTACTTCTCTTATGTAAGAATGTTTAACTCACCATGGATCCTGCCCTTAGACCAAAGCGGCCTTGATGTTATTGCACAAATTACAGGCTATGACACATATACCATTCCTGCCTGTGCTAGAGGATTGCCTTTAATTGTCTTGCTGAAGCACATATGCTTTTCCCTATGGTATATAAGCCTTGGGTCTGGGAGTAAGAGTGCAGAGATCTACCTGTCTTGGTGCCACCCAAGGTCATACCTCCGTCTGTAAGTTCACCTTTCATGGAACACAAGGTAAACCTCACAAAGTGTAAGGCAGCTCTTTTCCCATTTCCTGCATGTCTTCTCAATACCTATGATTGAAACATGCAGTGGAAATATCCATACCCGTCTTGATGGATGAAGCTAACTGGCTGGTAGGTCAAAGCCAGTTCGAGGAACAGGCTAGGAGGTCTGCATGGAACCTGGGATTGGCCATCCCCTCATTAGGGCTCTAATGGGAAGATGATGCCTTGGGTGTGCCTGGATGCTGAGAAAACATGAGATGTGTATTACCTTCTGCTCTCTTTATGTAAAACAGCTGAAGCTAAATCCCTTAAGATGTTTCTACATCCATCTATACCTAGATCTTGGAAATTTTGCAAATAAGCAGTTGTCAGAATTTTGAGCTATGGCTTGGGGTATTAAAAAATAGAAAGACAAGGGAAGAGGGTGTTGATGGAGGCTTGAGCCACTTAGCATGACCTAGACCCTGATCAGCTGTGGTTAGTCCGAATGAGCCAGTATGCTGGGGCAGAGAGCAGGATGGAGTAGCAAAGGCCCTGTAGTGAGGCCCACTGTGGGGGATGAGTGTGCTTGGTAGCAGTTTGAAGCATTGTGCCTCTCTTTCCTATGCACTGTGATCAGTGCACAGGAATGTAGAAAGGGCCAAGCCTTTGCAACACCTTAGACTCTGAGGCCTCCAGGGTGGATTCACTGTGCCATGGAAAACCACATAACATCATCCTATTAGCGTACTTTTGAGAGTAGATGTGCTATTAATAATGATGCTAAAACAACAGACATACACTACCAGAATGCTCCTAGCAAAATGAGGACATGTAGTCACCCTTTCCTCTGCTCCCTCCCCACCACCTGTGCCATTAGAAGCTGGAGGAGGGAGCGGTCACTGTGGCATGGAGTAGGCTGGGCAATGAAGGCTCCTAGGAAAGGCGGGCCTTGGTTCATGATCCGTGGTGGGATTCATGTGGGTAGGAGAGAAAATCAAGGGACGTCAAGAGCGTGGTAATAGCTTGTTACTACCTGGGGAGAAACATATCTGCTAGAGTTGCCATTTAGAGACATGTCAAAACCTCCAGAAAGTGTGTTTCAATGCCAAGTGCTAATTGTAAAAGGGAACGTGTCTTTCTGCAGTTCTAGTTTGTTATAGAAAGGGACAGCTCTTGACGTTAGCAAATAAGGTTGTATGTTATGGATCCTGTGGCAACTGAGTGTATGTGATGGAAAATGGATGTTTACTTTAAGGTCATTACTGAAGGCTTTCTGGAGCCACCTCTTTCTTGGGGACGTCTCCCTACTGATTCATATTAGAAATCAACTTGAGTGACCTTTCTCTGCAAAACATCAGAGACTGCCTTGGACTGTGTGGTCTGCTTGGAGGACTTCAACCCTCTTAGAACCTTACTCTGCATGTGAACACAGCAGCACAGGGACAGCGGGTTCCATTGTCTACGGGAGATGGTGCTCAAGGGTTGGAGCCAGTCCCCCTAGAGAGTCACATAGCATTTGGCCCTCAACCATGGCTGAATAAATGAATGAATAAACCTTATTTAATATATACTTTCACCTGCCTGAGTTGTAGAACTCTGCAGAAGTCCTTTTATATCTCTTCTACATTCATCTTCAGAGCCATTGTATCATAGGGGTTGTTTTGTTATTCTCCATACATCCTAATTTATAGAGGAGAAAACAAAATCCAGGGAAAGGTGGAAAATTGATCCAGGGTCAAACACTGAACTTATGGAGAGGATGGAGAGGAAAGCATGGCTTTTGGAGTAATACCGCTGAGAGTCAAATCCCAGTTATTGCAGTGAGGAGTGGCAAGAAGTCACCTAATTTCAACAACACAATCATTTCAGGAATGGAAAGAACACCCCCAGTTCCATTAAACGACATGAAGTGCAGAAAGTCCTGGCTCACAGAAGGGGCCCACTAAGCATTAGTTGCCATTCCTTTCTTAGGTAACAACCGCCTGTGGACCCTCACCCCTTCCTCCACTGTCAGAGGCAGCATAATGGCTCAGTTTGCATTTCAAGGCTGATAGAATCAAGTTTGCTAGTGCTGGTCCTGCTGCCGCCTAGAACTCCCTTAATGAAAGTCAGCCTCCACAAGCCTTGAGGAGTATTAAAGGACAGAGCACTGTGAAGGATGGTGCTGTGTGTGCCTATCTTTTCTTTTTCTTTCTTTTTTTTTTTTTTTTTTGAGACGGAGTCTCACTCTGTCACCCAGGCTGGAGTGCAGTGGTGCGATCTCAGCTCACTGCAAGCTCTGTCTTCCGGGTTCACACCATTCTCCTGCCTCAGCCTCCCAAGTAGCTGGGACTGCAGGCGCCCGCCACCATGCCCAGCTAATTTTTTGTATTTTTTAGTAGAGACGGGGTTTCACTGTGTTAGCCAGGATGGTCTCGATCTCCTGACCTCGTGATCCGCCCACCTCGACCTCCCAAAGTGCTGGGATTACAGGCGTGAGCCACCGTGCCCGGCCTATGCCTATCATTTAATTGACTAGTTGGATTAGCGAGGAGTTGGTTAGTTGTTGTGCTTCTTTGCAGTGCACTGGGCTGCTACATGGGCCTCATTTTGACTACCTGTTCTAAGGGATGAGGAAGCCCTCCTTGCAGAAGCCCATGGAAGCCCTCCTTGCAGAAGAAATATCCCAGCCACTCAGGTTGGCAGACTCTGTGCAGAATACCCAGTGTCTTTCCTCCTCTTGTTTATCTCTCTTCAGGTACCAGGAAATGAAAGAGGCCTATAGACATGGAAGTTCTGAAGGAGAATAGCGTTGCCATCCTCCCTACCCACCTCTGAGTCTCTGGTTCCTGGTCACCCAAGCCTCCATCATGCCCTCTTCCCTTCTCTTCCTTTTATTTTTTAATACCCTAAGCCACAGCTCAAAATGCTGAGCACCACTTCTCTTCAGCATGACTGAGGTCTAGGTATAGATGGTTATGGGGACAGCTCCAGGGACTTAGCTTCAGCTGTTTCAAATAAAGGAGAAAGAAGAGAACAGGGATCTCATGTTTTCTCACCAGCCATGCATGCCCAAGGCATCTTCCTATGAGAGCCCTGAGGAGGGAACGGCCAATCCCAGGTTCCATGCAGTGCCTCCAGCCTGTTCCTGGGACAGGCTCCAATCTCTTGGTGCAGTTAGCTTCATCCATTAAGACAGGCATGGATATTTCCATGTTCTTCCTGAATCACAGGTATTGAGAGGAAGTGTGGGAAATGGGAGAACAGCTGCCTTATGAATCGTGAGGTTCACCTAAACCTTGGGGGCTAGAATTGAGATGGAGCAGTGTTCTGAGGGGTCCCAAGAAGCCTAGTATAACTCATAAGATGCTTGGGAGTTTAAATATGCTTTTCTGTGCAGAGTCTACCATCTAAGTCTCTCTGGTTTGAAGTTGGAGAAACTGAATTTGTCATTCAGCTAGAAAACATACTGGAGGAGAGATTTTAACTCATGCCTCAGAACAAAGCTCAGGGCTTTCTGAAGCACCAGAGGGTGCCAAAGGAGTCAGAGCTTGGGTTCTGCCCATTGAGAAGAATGAAGAGGGATGCTGGTTTCAGTTTAGCAGGAGGAAAATGGTAAAAATAACATTGAAAAGAACAAATAGACTTACAAGGGTTCTCAAGATTTATCTGCAAGTGATATTTTCTAAGGAGACTGCGTGTGTCCCCCAAACTCCATTTTCATCATGTCACATTTTTCTCAAAAGCATTTCTATAATTCTAGCATGAGAAGGGAAGCCTTGGTCTAAATGTTCATGAGCGGAACCAAGCCGCCTTTCCAGCCTCATCCTGCAAACACATACTCCCTGGCTGCAGGTAGGTCCCCTGGTAGTGTGTAGATGCCAGCATTTCTGTTTTAATGGTACATGGAGAGAGGCGATCTAACCTAACAACAAATTGATGATCTAGCTTGAAAAAAATACCAACTGCCATTTCTATCACCGTAATTTCAAAAGCAGAAGGACATTTTAACATCAAAAAGTGGGAAAAACATTTTCAGAACAAATATCATGGCTCCTTAATTTTAAAAAGATGCCTTGGGTGCGTTGGCTCACGCCTGTAATCCCAGCACTTTGGGAGGCCGAGGCGGGAGGATCATGAGGTCAGGAGATCGAGACCATCCTGGCTAACATGGTGAAACCCCATCTCTACTAAAAATACAAAAAAATTAGCCGGGCATGGTGGTGGGCGCCTGTAGTCCCAGCTACTTGGGAGGCTGAGGCAGGAGAATGGCGTGAACCCGGGAGGCAGAGCTTGCAGTGAGCTGAGATCGCACCACTGCACTCCAGCCTGGGCGACAGAGCGAGACTCCGTCTCAAAAAAAAAAAAAAAGATGCATTTATAAAACCTTGTTGTATCTCTTTTTCTTTTGTTTTAATTTTGCCACAAATTCAGAAGAGCTTCATTATCCCTAGAGTAAGAAAGGGAAAGAATAAAGAAAAAAAAAGAGCTTCTTTAAAGACCAGCAATCCGTGGACAGGCATTTAGCAGTTACTGACTTAGCCTACACACTGGGCTGATATAGTTTCTCCATCTGGAATGTTCTTTTATATTTCATTTTATCCAATTCTCAACTTCTTTTCCATCCCAAAGAATACCCCATCGCTGCTCTCAAGCTTTTCCGGACATTCTGCAGTAATATCTACCTCATCTGAACTGAAAACTCTCTCGCCTCTTGTACTCAATTGGCCTTTACCGTTCACTGTCTTCTGACATCTCTTAAATAGTGATTAGTCATTAATGCATCTCGCCAACTAGACAGTAAGCATTTTATACTTCTTTTTAATGTCTATTATTTTCAGAAAATATGTGATACCTAATAAGTAAGTTTTTAAAGTTTGCTGAACGAACACAGTAAGTTCTTTGTTGTACTACTTGTTTTCTGGAACTGTGATGTTGTTTATGTCGAGTCCCAGAAGTTAAGGCAGAAGGGAATTGAGAAACTGACCCTGAAATTATGTCATAAAAAACTGAGAGTTAAAAAAGAAGCCATGGCTTTCTATTGCAACTTTAACTTTCCTAGTATGCTTAGTACTTATTTTTTATTTTTATTTATTTATTTTTTGAGATGGAGTCTCAAACTGTCACCCAGGCTGGAATGCAATGGCGCGATCTTGGCTCACTGCAACCTCTGCCTTCCAGGTTCAAGCGGTTGTTCTGCCTCTGCCTCCCAAGTAGCTGGGATAACAGGCGCTCACCATCATGCCTGGCTAATTTTTTATATATTTAGTAAGACAGGGTTTCACCATGTTGGCCAGGCTCGTCTTGAACTCCTGACCTCGTGATCTGCCTGCCTTGGCCTCCCAAAGTGCTGAGATTACAGGCGTGAGCCACCGCACCCAGCCAGCATTTATTTCTAAGCCAAATCAAAATATAGACCTTTGATGAAGGTGTTAAGAAAACATTGCATTGTCCTGGTTATTTAGAGATAGAGACATAAATTCTCTATGATTATTTCTCCCAAAGACCTTGGAATCCAATGGACCTGAGACAGGTCAAGATGAATGAATACAAATATGAGAAGGGCATAGCTCATCAGAAATTCAGAGACCCTGGGTGAGCAGGGTTAGGCAACTTGGAGAAACTTTCTAGACACAGGAGCCATAGCACTGTAACTAAAGAAGGAGGAAAACACAGCATGCCGAGCAGGGTATAGAGGCTGCAGGTGTGTTTTTCCTTGGCTTTCATGCTGTGCTGGCCCTGACACAGGACTGACTTTACCCATAAAGAAAGTGGCAGCAGCAGGAAGGGCACTGTGGTGAGCCCTGGTGAATCCACATGGCACTTGGACCAACCCCTCAGACACAACCCCTTTCTCATTCTGTTCCATCTGCTGCCCTACACGATGTTCCATTTCAGGGCTCGTTTCTGAGCATGGACCAGTTGCTAGGCACAGTTCTGCAGATATACAGTGAGCAGAAACAACCACAGAGCTTATTTTTTTTTTTTTTTTTTTGAGATGGAGTCTCGCTCTGTCACCCAGGCTGGAGTGCAGTGGCGCAATCTCGGCTCACTGCAACCTCTGCCTCCCAGGTTCAAGCGATTCTCCTGCCTCAGCCTCCTGAGTAGCTGGCATTACAGGGGCCCATCACCACGCCCGGCTAATTTTTATATTTTTAGCAGAGACAGGGTTTCACCATGTTGGCCAGGATGGTCTCAAACTCCTGACCTCATGATCCACCTGCCTTGGCCTCCTAAAGTAGAGCCTACTTGTATATTGCTAAGGGCCCAGTGAAGAAGCCAGGGATCTGTTAAATATCTCACCCATACATATAACATTACACATCTGAGGACTGTTATCAAATGAAATGATGTGGTTCAGGGAGACCAGTGAGTGGGATGTGGCTGCTGAGAATGAGGTGCAGGGTGATGTTACATATTTTTTTCCCAAGAAAGGGATGTATAGGCTGACAGCTAAAGTGTCAGTAGGTGCTCACTAGTTTGGAACAGAAGAGAACATTGTCCATGCAAAGGAACAGCTCGAATGAGGCTGTGGGACAGGAGGGAGTGTCACGGGGCTGACAGAATGCCCACTTGGCTGGCACACAAGGAAGGGAAAGGAGTGGTGTGAGATGAAGCCGAGCAGGTGTCAGCACCAACCTCTCGGGACTTTGCAGAGTATGGCACAGATTTTAGCTTCATTATAAGAGTAGCAGGAAGGCACTGAAGAGTTTAAATTGGCAAGTAATGGGAGCTGAACTGTGCTTTTCAAAGACTACTCTGTCTGCTCTTTACAGCTGAAGAAGGACTGAATATGGGTTGGAGGGAGAGAGTGAGAGCAAGCGTAGCTGGGAGCAAACATGGAGTGTAAGAACAGAGGAGAGAATTAGCCGCAGGCTAGGGACCTTGGAAGGACACTTCTCACTAAAAGCCACACTCAGCTAGAGAGCCTTTTTAACAGTGAGTGATCGTTCTTCTCTGGTGTTTCTCTCTGTCCGTCCCTAATCCAAGCCAAGAGAGAATGAAGGCTCTTAGTTTAAAAGGTCCTCTGGTCCTTTGCTGCCCCGTTCTTGCTTTTCTAGCCAGACATGGTTCTCTGAGGATTTGTTAAATTTTAGAGCCCAGTGGTCAAGTAAACATGGGGTGGTACTCAAAGAAACTCACAGGTATTTATTACCCAAAGCTACTGCATTTGGGGATTATTAAATACAGACATATAGACACACATGTATGCAAGGTCATTGGAGTGACATCCCATCCTGAGAACAGGGGCCACCTTCTACAAATGCCAAAAATGCACTTCGCGCAGTGTTGGAAATTTCATCGGGTGTTCACTGAATGCACAGACCTGCTGCAGAGCCTGGTTCTTGTGCCTCTTGTCTTCCTGGGTGTGCTGGGGTGGAGGACAGATTCTTATGTCCCTCATTGGAATCTACCCTCTCAGCCAGTCTTGTGACCACACTTTTGGAGTGGTGGAGTGATGGGAAGCCCCTCGTGGCACAGCACCTGCCCCAGCACCATTGGCTGAAACGGAAACAACCATCCACTTGGCCTAGCAGAGTCCTTGACTATCTTTTAGGGCTTTGCTCTGGGAGGGGCTGTGCTCTCTGCCTGCCTAACATCCCCACTTCTGGCCCAGTGGGGCTTGGGCTGCAGTAGCTGCATTCCATTCTGGCCCATCACGTGGCAACACCAGCCACGATGCCTGCCGTCTTCCCTGAGATGTTCGGTGCCCTCTCTTCTGAGACACTGGTGGCTTTCTGAGAACTGCTGTATGGTGAACTCCATCTTCAAGGGTTATTGGCTTCCAAACACCATGACTTGCGGGAGCCCCGTTCCCTGCTCATCAGTGTCCATGCAATTCAGGCAACTCTCCCCAGCTATGCTAGTTACTTCCTTCATCTAAACCCTGTTTGGAAGCCCTGAAGTTCCTGCCTGGGGAAGTCAAGTAAAAATGGGAGGTATGGGACTTGATAGCAGCAGATGTGCAAAGGTCTTACAGGTTACAGTTGAGTCTCAGTGTGAGATGGGTCACTGGGGGATGTGGCCCCTGGGCAGCTAGTGCTATGGAGTCTGTAGAATAGAGGCACAGTGATGACCAGTTATCTCTGGAGCACTGTGCTCAGTTCTAGGAGACACATTTTTAAGAGAAACTCGTGCTTTCCTGAGGAGGTCCGGGTCTGTGCTCTCTGATACAGTAGCCTCTAACCACCTGTGGATATTTAAATTTTATGTAATTAAAATTAATGAAAATTTAAAACAGTTGCTCTGGCACTGGCCACATTTCAGATGAACTGGAGCCACGTGCGGCTCCGGCTGGAGTGTCAGGCAGCACAGTGGAGAGCATGCCCTGTCCTCTGGAAGGATGTGGCTCAGAGCACGTCCAGCCCGGAAGTCACAGAGCCAGGACCTCATGGAGTGAGAAGTAGTTGAAAACACTAAAGTTGTGTGCCCTACAAAATTGTCCTCAGACAATTCAGAATCTATGTCACAGAAGCAGAATTGGATTTCTGAAGAGTGACTCATGACAGCATAACTTGGATTAACTGAAGGGATGTAAAGAGAGGGTTTTAGCTGAATGCAAGTCCAACATTTCCATCAGAAGTGTTCAAAACGTGGAATGCGAGTCTCCAGGAATTGTGATTTTTTTCTTTCGTTTAAGACGTTCAAATAGAGACTGCTGTCCAATTATTGCCAATGCTAGGGAGGGGATTTCTGCCTCAGATGGAGGTAGTGAGGGGTCAGCAAAGAATGTGGATTTTAGAACTAGGTAGATTTAACCCAAGTCCTGGTTCTATCATTTTCTAACTTAATGGCTTTGCTCAACTCACCACACCCCTCCGTTCTCCCCAGTAAAGTGAGGACAATACTAATTGTCTCACAATACTGTGTTGGGTGTTAAATGAGACCACAAAGTAAAGTATCAAAGGCAGTGCCTGTCCCAGAGCAGGTGACTTGCACTAATCAGAGGCTCACCCTGCCTTGCTGCTCCACACACACGACTGACTGACAACATCCGTGACCCACAACATCCACAGCTCATTCCCACGGCAGTCCTCACGCAGGCACCAAAACTCTACCCCACTCATGAAATCGACGTGAAATGCAAGGAAATCAGAATGTGGTTATCTGAGGTATCAACTTTAATCTTCTCTGGTTTATTTTTTTAAATAAATTAGTTACAGAGCGAGACTTTAATCATTATCAGTAGCAGATTTCACTAGCACAATTATCAAGTGTCAGAACCCCAAAGGTGAGAATCGCCGTTCTTGGAGCATCCTAAGCCCTGTCCACCTTTAGAGGTTCCAATGCTGGCATAGGGTTCAAGACCATATGTTTTATTATGAGGAATTCAAGTGAGACCAGACTATTTTGTTGTAAATACTATAAGAAAGAAAACATCCTTTCTTCTCCTCCATTTCTATGCCTGTGAAGATGTGATGAGCAAGCCTTGGAAGCCTCAGTTCCTCAGACTCTTCCAGGCATGGGGCCATGGAACTTGGCAAAAGCGGGTGCTGTGTGGATCTCAGTCTCTGGAGCCATTCGTTGGGTCGTGAGCAGCAAAGTAGCCTTCATCTTTCCCAGTCTTCACACTTCGAGGACCCTCACTGCTGGTGGGGAGGGGGTTTCTGCTCTAGGCTGTGGTAATGCTATCCCCCGACCTGCAAATTCATACAATGAGCCAACTGGCCACATGCTCCAAGGAGCTAAGATGCTGTTGGTCCACAAACAAAGGTTCAGGTTCTGTGTAGCTTAGGATCCGGTTGCTAATTGGCTTGAAACATTTAAATCCTCTTGCATTTAGTTTAATATGTGGATATGCCTATTGAGAAGTATGTTTTGAAATCTAAGGTTTGTATTCCCATCCATAACAGGAAGAATAAAACCTTGAAAAATGTTTCATTTTAAATACAGACCCCTTGTGTATCAAAAAGTATATTTTTTTGGGAATACAAAGCCACCACCACCACCACCATTGCCCATAGAGGCGCCTGCAGAGGCTGGACTTGCTGCTTCTGGTCCGTTGAGCTGAGAAGCACAGAGGTTCAGTGGGTTGTTGAGGGCACCAGGGACCCCAGGTGGAACTGGTAAGAAAAGCTGAATCCAATCCTTGGCTTTTACTCACCTTGTTTAAATTACTGTCCTTAAGCTTTTTCCATATTAGCCTGGAGCCATAAATAGTTTGTGTGGCTACTTTCAAAATTCAATTCTGGGCCGTTTGCGGTGGCTCATGCCTGTAATCCCAGCACTTTGGGAGGCCGAGGCGGGCGGATCACAAAGTCAGGAGATCGAGACCATCCTGGCTAACACAGTGAAACCCCGTCTCTACTAAAAATACAAAAAAATTAGCCAGGCGTGGTGGCGGGTGCCTGTAGTCCCAGCTACTCGGGAGGCTGAGGCAGGAGAATGCTGTGAACCCAGGAGGTGGAGCTTGCAGTGAGCCGAGATTGCGCCACTGCACTCCAGCCTGGGCGACAGAGTAAGACTCCTTCTCAAAATAAATAAATAAATAAATAAATAAATTCTGTGCAATTCAGTCGTATTTATTGGGAAGCCTTTAGGTTCCCAGAAGAACTGAGCCAACCTTGAAGGGAACAAGAAAGAAACAGAGCCTGTGATCAGTGGGCACTCACAGCAAATAGGAATCCTCCACCTCCCCTGCTTAGAAACCTCCAGCAATTCCTCAGGGGTGCAGGTAGAATCTCAGTCCAGCAGCCAAGGGCTTACGTATTTTGAGCGGTCTATGGCTTTCTGTTGAGCAGACTTATAGCTTCTCATAGCTGGGCATGTTTCTATTTCCTGGGTTATCTGAATGCATTTCTTGTAACCCTGGCAGAAGAAAAGTTTCTATCAGCCCTCCTTGTAGGAAGAAAATGTGTTCCCTAGTTTGTAGGCAGCAGAGAGCCTGCTGTGTTAGTTATGTCCCGTCAGAAGCATTTGAGAAAGTCTCTCGCAGTATAACAATGGCAGTTTTTTGCTTGAGGGACAGAGAGAGAGCAGAAGCTGGTGAATCTGACAGGCAAGGGTCCCTAAGAGAAAGGATAAGGTCCCTAAGAAAGGGCCCCCTGCCCTGCCTTCCTCACCTCCTCTTCCCCCCCTCACCACATGGCCTTAGGAGATAGGGCGGTGTCACTGCCTCTGCTGACCCTCCCGATGTACCAGATGAAGAGACTGGGTCAGTAACGCAAGGAGGTGATGTGGACATTCACTACCCAGCATTTTGTTCATCGTGCAGCTTTTATAAACTGTCCAAAGCAAGGTTCAGAAAAGGCAGGATTTTGCAAAAATCTCACATCAGTTTCATCTAGGACGTGTGGACATCACAGTGATTGGGATGATGGGCTGGCTGACCCTTGGTGGTTCTCAACAATTTCCAGGATGTTGCATTTATTTATCCATGACATGACATCAGGGGTGGGAGCTGTGCTTATGCAGAAAGGGGTTCTCACAGACTGGACCATCTGCCTACCTGCTCTCCCACCTGTGTATTGTATCTGTTTATTTAGGTGGAATTTTTAATTTACAGAACAGTTGCAAAAATACTATGACCTATTTATATCCTTTACTCAGATGACCAATTGTTTACATTTTGCTCCATTTACTTTATTATTTTCTCTCTTTCTGTATTTACCAATAAAAAGAGCATTTTCTTACAGAGGCACAGGACCGTGACCAGAATCAGGATATTCGCAGTTGGCACAGTATCGGCGTCTAACCTGGCATCAACATTCCAGTTTCACCTGCTCCCTGGCACACTGTGGACCACTGCCACCTTGGTCTGGGATCCACCCAGGCCTCCAGTGTGTGTAGTTGCTCTGTCTCCTTAATTTCCTTTCAACTAGAATATTTCTTCCCTCTTTCTTTACCTGTTATGGCCGTTACATTTTTCAGAACAGAACAGGTTTTCTGTACAGTGCCCATCACTATGATTTGTTTGATGTTTCCTCATAATTAGAATTTTGGCCAGAATCCTAGAGAAGTGATGTTGTGTCCTTGCCATGCATCATATCAAGAGGCACGTGATATCAGTGTGTCCTGCTGGGGATAGTCATTTTGATATCTTATTTAAGGTGGTGTCTGTAAGGTTTTCCCACCGTAGGTTGCTCTATTTCCTTTGAAATGAACAAGTAATTGTGGGGCGATTTTTTCGGACTATATTCATATCTTTTGACTCATCAAATTTTCACCTCCTAGTTTGGGCATGCATTGATGATTCTTACCCAAGTCAAGTATTATTACAATGGTTGTCAGATGGCAATCTTCTAATTTCATTTCTCCATCTGTGCCCATCAGTTGGCATTCTACGAAAATATGGAGCCGTCGTGAGCTTGCATCACCTTGTGCAAGAGCTATGGCTATGCTGAGCTTCTCCACATATTTCCAACTTTAGTACATGGGCAGGTGAGGCAAGCACCACTCTTACCTTCGAATACCACACACACACACCACACACACATATCACATAATACACACCCCACATACCACACACACAACATAACACACCACATAACACACATGCTACATATGACATCATACATCATACACACCACACACACACCAAATACACCACATGCCACACAACTTACATACCACATCATACACACCATACACACGACACACAGCACATAACACACCACATGCCATACATCCTACATACATCATACACACCATACACACACATCAAATACCACACCACATGCCACACAACCTACACACCACATCATACACAGCATACACACGCATGACACATAGCACATAACACACCACATGCCACACAACCTACATACCACATCCTACACACCACACACACACACCACACACACCCCATAACATACCACATCACATACCACACACACCATATACCACATCATATACACCACACACAAACCACACACACAAACACAAACACCACACACACCACGCACACCTACACCCACAGACACTGTACACCATACACCACACTGTACACACCACACACCACACCACACCAGACACCACACATACAGCACACACACAAACACACCACACACACTGCACTATATACCACACACACTCCAAACCCCACACGCATTACACATCACACCACACACACACACACCAGATAACATACCACACACTACATACCACATGTACCACACACAACACACATCCTACATACCACACACAGCACATACCACATACCACATCACATACCACACCGCATGCCACACATCCTACATACCACATCATACACACCACACACAACACATACTACACACCCCACAGTACCACATACACCACATAACACACTACATGCCACACTTCTTCCATACATCATACATACCACAAACATCACACACACAGCACACACCACATACCACACATTCCACATACGACATCATACACACCACACACACTGCACATATTATACCAACACATCCCACATACCATATCATATACACCACACACAAACCACACACACAAATGCAAACACCACATACACCATACATACCCACACACACAAACACTGTATACCATACACCACACTGTACACACCACACACACACACACCATACACACACAAACACACACACACACAAACTTCTGTTGAGGCTGTGCCCCCACCACTTGGAGCCACTACATCTCCCTACCTCAACTTCTTTCCACTTGGTAGTCCTGTCTTCTGAAGTTAGTAAATGCAGGCGTGAGGCAGGGAGGCGCTTTGGCTGATCGGCAGAACCCTGGGATGAGCCACGGCATGGCTGTGTGGCACGTGTGGTGTGGGTGTGGGTAGGGGGATCCCGCCACGCGTCCTTCCCACCCTGGGTCCTGTGTGTGCCCATTACAGTGTGTTTCCTATTAAAGTTCCTTTCATGTTTGGGCCAAGGGTGTTTCCTTTAATTCCTGCTGGCATAGAAGAATGAGGTTTTCTGCAGCAATTTCTAAGTCTGAAAAGGGAGGCTCTGGGGTAAGAATGTTGAACAATTAAAATGATTAGAAATTATCTATATAAAATACAGGTATACAAAATATGTATATTGAATCCTAGCTAGACAGACGGTATCCCCGGGAGAACTCCTCCTTGAGGAATGGGCCATTCGCTTCATAATAGATGCAAGATCATCCTCGGGCCAGTTAGCATGCACAGTTTCCCGGGATGCTTTGCGATACAAATTCATAAACATTGATTGAAAGGTCAGGGGACGTTCCCATCAACACGCGGCTCTGTCGGATTGTTCAAGGGAAAGTTAGCACCGTTGCATGCAGGCAGTTGAGTTCTTAGGGAAGAGTGCTGGCCCTGGTGGAGTTTTCCACGTCTGTGTGATTTGGTGTGGTGTGATATAGTCACTGGGACTTGGTTCGGCGCAGAGAGAGCTGCATGTTTCTGCTCATGTTATCTGGAAATAAGGATTCAGGCTCTGTGTGCTGAATTATGTTTGCGGTGATCTCACAGTTGTGAAGAAGAGGCATGGCTAGGAGGCATGTTCAGAGCTGGAGAGGGTATAAAATTCTCATTTCTTACCTTCTCTGAGGGAAGGAGTGTGGAGTGGCAGATTTCCAGTCTCTGGGTCTTATATCAGTGTTGTTCTCTGGGACCAGCACTGTCCTCATATGGCTACCACTGGGACGTGTAGTTGACCTCTGACGTGCACAGCAGATGCACGGACAGGCAGGGTGGTGCTGGGTGAGCATTAGCCGTGTGCAGCTGGTGAGCCTATGCCTTCTTGTTGGCAGGCCTCGCTGCTGAGAGTAAGTTGGTGAGGACCCATGCACGTTGGTTCTCGCATGTTTCCAAAGGTCACTTCCTGCCTCACTGGTGAGCCTTTCTCCCAAATGAGAACTCCTCGCTCTTGCCTCCCTTTCTACTTTCTACATCTTCCTGGGACTTCCTGGCCATCTCCTTTCTGCATGCATGCTGCAGGAATTTCCACTCCAGGCAGGAAGCTCTCAGTATCTGCACAGCCCAGGTGCAGGACATGTGCTGCCCAGGCTGGGTTGCTGTCTGTTGTTTCACCCTGCACAGTGAAGAGAATGGGGGGTTAATGTGTCAGGCATGGCATGCGTGATTTAGAACCATTCATGCCTCCAAGTATTTGAGGCAGCTCCTGGGATCCACATCTGTGAGCAAGGAAACTGAGGCCTGGCTTAAATCACACGTCCAAGACCAGAGTTAGGAACAGGGCACCTGCCTGGACCCAGGTTCACACCTGTAAGCTTGTCGTGGGTGTGGGATATGCCTTAGCTCTCTGAGCACGTGGCAGAAATTTGGGGATGTATCACCCACTACTGTAACTGTGACAACGTCTCCACAGGAGGAACGGCAAAGTCTAAATTAAAAGAACGTTTCCCGCAGGGGGCGCTCTTTTTTGGATCTCTCTGCTTGGAGATATCTCTGCCTGTGTAGGATCAAAGCAGAGGGAACCTCTGTGTTTTCAAATAATGTTTTTCCCCTAAATCAGCACCAGTCCTAATTGAGTAATAGAGTAACAAGAAGTAGAAAGGGGAAGCTTTAGCAGCTGGGCCTTCACCTGGTCTTCCAACAAGCCCCAACTCGACAAGAGCCAAAGCAAGAGACACCATTTGGAGGGGAAGATAAGAAGTCTTCACAAGGTCTTTTCCGGTGTTCTGCTTTTTCCTGGGAGGCGGCCTTGGCGTGTCCCTGAGACCTCCTGTGATGCTCACGGCTCTGGCGCTGCCATTTTTCTTGGGTGTCGTCTGGTGATGTCTGCAAGGCCAGCTGTAATGTCAGGGCTGTGCTCGATAGCACAGAAAAGACAGCGTCCTGGAGGAGAGCTTGTTGGAGCAGATTTACAAGGGAGGGTGCGGGTGTCACTCATCGTTCACGCTACAGGACAATCCCTTTCACTCTGGGAGCTGAGTCCCAGGTGAGAGCTAAGTTCCAGGCGAGACCAGGGAGTCGAGGGGACTGGATTTCTGCTTCTCTCCCAGGAGCTGCGGGCTGGGAAGGGGAAGGAACAGAGCTGAGGTGTGACATCGCCCCCGGTTTCCCCTGTTGCCCAGGTTATAGCTTGGGTGGGGCTGACTTCAGAGGCAACATTAGAACCTTTTAAAATACCCTTAATGATTTACATGAATTAGAACAAGAAGGCAGCTGGGTGTCGTGGAAAGCGAGTGGGATCTGGGTTATGTCCTCACTGTGCCTTTTTATGCACACAAAGATTTATCTACCCATGCTATCAACTTAGTGTGTATTATAGTGAAATGCCGTAAATAATCTCATGTCCCCTTTATACAGATAAGAAAAATTTTTCAGGGACATTGAGTTAACTTGATAAAGTTCTCCAGTTATCAACCTGGTAATTCCAGTTCTAGAAAATGGCAAGAGGTAAATGCCAACAGTGGGTATTTATATAAGAATGATTATGGATCAGTTAAGCAAGTCAGTAAAAGGAAATCGCTAGTGTGCATAAGGTGCTATTGAGGCAATACCTTTATGCTTTTGGTTTATAAAGTAAAACATTTTAAATCTTGGTATTTGTGCTATGTCTGCATAATAAAATATTTCATAATTAAAATCATACTTTGGAAGATTTTTTATTATGTAAGAAAATCTCTATATTACAACATTAAGTGAAAACAGTGGGAGAATAAAATCTAAAACTACATATAGAGACCAAATCTTATAAATAATAGATTAAAAATACTAGTAAAAATAGTATAATGACTATACTAGATTGGCTGTCTCTGTGTGTGAAATTATGATTAAATGATTTCTAGTTTATTCTTTCTATATTATTCCAGATGTTTCATTATTAACATCAATTATATTTATAACAACAACAGCAAAGGTCAACGTGATTTATATTTTTAGAAAACCAGGTATTAGTAGTTATGGTTGTGTAGCAAGGCTGGCTCAAGAAATGGATCAGACTCTGAGAGGAAAGACCCACGGTTTTGTTGGGTATTCACCGTGTGCTCCCCTTGTAGGTAGAGATGATGGGATGGACCTGGCGTTCACTGCAGCTGCCTGTCTCCACACTGCACAGCCTGCTTTGGAGGATGCCCAGCCTCCGCTTGCTGGCCTCCTAGCAGTCTCGTCAGTTTTTCCTGCAATGTGAGTCACTCCCTTTGCTGTAGCCTGGGTGTACCTGGAACCAGCCAACTACATATCCACAGTCAGGCGGCCACTCAGTCTCCTACCAGAGTTTACAAAGCCAGGGTCCTACAAACACCCTCAGAAGTGGGCTTATTTTGGCCCATCCCATGAAAGAAGAGGCTGAGTCTGACAACAGCAGGAGCAGCAGCAATGATCGCTTGTTCCGAGGCCTCTATGTGCAGGGCACACCTCCACTCTCCCGCCGTGCTGCGAGCCCTTTGAGGGCAGGACCCGTCTGATTGAACGCTATTGCTCCAGCATACCTGGACAGGGCTTCACACTGGACATGCTCAGTAAACTTGAGAATGTAAAACAGATGATCGAATTCCTCTGTACTCCAGATGATTTTGCTAAACAGAATTATTATGTATTTAAAATACAGGATTATCACTATTTGAAGATGAAATTAGACACTTATGTAATAAATTACCCCAACACTTAGTGGCTTAAAACTACGCACATTTGTTACCCACAGGGTCTGGGTAGCAGGGATCTGGGAGCAGACTGGCTGGTACTCTAGCTCAGGCCTTCCAGGAGCACGCAGCTAGTGCTGGCTGAGGCAGCTGTCACCTGGGGGCTTGTGGAGGCAGCAGGGCAACGTCCAGGCTCTCTTATGTGGCCTCTGGCAGGAGGCCTTGGGTGCTAGCCACGTAGGCCCTTCCTCATCATGTGGCATTTGGATTCTCCCAGAACAAGTGACTGAGGGAGTGGTGGGAGGGAGGTTGGTGGAGACAGCAGCGCAGCCCCTTCCTGTGATCTAGTCTTATGGGTTGTGCTCACTCACTTCTGCCACATACATTAGGAGCAATTCATAAAATCCAGCCCAGACACAAGGCTCCACCTCTTGAAGGGAGAGGTATTGATATGGTTCTGCTGTGTCCCCACCCAAATCTCACCTTGAATTGTAGCTCCCATAATCCTGTTGGATTATGTTGGAGAAGGGACCCTGTGGGAGGTAATTTAATCGTGGAGATGGTTACCCTCATGCTTTCTCATGATAGTGAGTTCTCACGAGATCTGATGGTTTTATAAGGGGCTTTTCCCCTTTTGCTCAGCACTTCTCCTTCCTGCTGCCGTGTGAAGGACATGTTTCCTTCCCCTTCTGCCATGATTGTAAGTTTCCTGAGGCCTCCCCAGCCATGCTGAACTGTGAGTCAATTAAACCTCTTTTCTTTATAAATTACCCAGTACTGGGTATGTCTTTATTAGCTGTGTGAGAATGGACGAATACAGGTATCAAAGAATTTGTGGTCATCTTTTTTAAAATCACAAAGTTTCAGGAGATTTAATTAATAAAGTGAGACTCAGGTCTAGGCAGGTAATTAGAGGGGCCTCCAAGAAGGAAACAAAGATTTTGTCTAACACACTATGGTCTGGAGACAGATCTCCTAGGGACTTGCTCAGCTTTTTGCTTACAGCATTGAGCTCCAGGGATTGGCTCTGCTTGCCACAGGGTGATGTGCCCCATCTCTTTATGTTACTGAGGGCAGAAGAAGGGTGGATGTCTATAGTTTGCCTGCATTTCAGGATCCAAGTCAAGAAGGAGAAGAAAGAGAGGAATGGCCCTATTGTGGGAGCCTCCATGATCGCTATTGCATTTGGCAGTGATATATACTCCCTTAACCTTTCCTCTGCAAAGAAATTGATAATGATACTTGCACTAGTAAATGTCCACTTCTAAATGTCTGTATAAATAAAACAAATATCTAAACTCATTCTTGCCCCATAAAATGTCTACACTTTAAATCATGCCAATCTGCTCATACAGGCAGAAACTAAAGAGCCTTTAAATTTGTTTTGCAAACAATCACATCAGGATTTGTTCTAATATACTGATGCAGTGGACAGATTTATGATTTTTAGGAAGATAGGCACATATTTTGCAGAGAGTAAAAATGTAAATTCAGTGATAGAAAATGGAGGTTTGCTCCATGTAAGGATAGGGGCTCATATGACTCAGAGGAAAATAGAGGATAATCGACTCTATTATCCTGCCTTTATGTGGAATTGCAATAATGTCCATTCATATTAAAAATAAAATTGAAGACTTTCCTAATAATCCCGTCATTCACAAATAAATATTGATTGAATGCCAGATATATTCCAGGCACCAGACACTCTCTTAAGCACTTGGATACAGCAGTGAGCAACAAAAAACCTTGCCTTCCTTGGCTTTGAATTCCAATGCATAGGGAACAAAAGCAAATGAATCAGTAAAAATTATTACATGTTATATGGTGATAAATTATAAAGGAAAAAAATCAGGGAATGAATATAGAGGGTCAGGGAAATGGCTTAAAATTATTAAAAGTGTGGCCAAGAGGTCACGTTGCAAAGTTCACATTTGCCCAAATAGCTAAATGAAGCAAGGGAGTGAACCACCACAGCCAGCTGGAGGAAGAGCATTTTGAGAATACAGAATAAGTGCAAAGGCCCTGGGGTGGTCGGGGAGGGTGGTCTGTGCAAGAGCATGACGAAGTCCATCGTGGCTGAGGAGTGGTCAGAAGAACCTGACCATGTGTGCCTGTTGGTTATTTAAGGATTTTGGTTTTAACCAAAGTGAGCTGGGTGGCTGCTGGAGGGTGTGAAGGAAGAGACTCCTAATCTGAGATGGATCTCTGGGATGAATGGTTGTTGGTGTTTGAGAAGCTATTGCAGTAATCGAGTCAAGAAATGGTGCTGGCGTGGCCCCGGGTGGCAGTGGTGGGTGAAAGCACTGAGAGTGTGTTCTGCAAGGAGACTTGCCAAGATTGACCCACAGACCACATGTGGGATATTAGGGAGCATAACAGTCAGGTTTCTGGCCCAGCCCCTGCAAGTATAGAGTGCCATTGTTTTTAGATTGGGAATGCTGAGAAAGGAACAGGTTTAGGGTTATGTTTGGTTTGTAAAGTTTAAGATGCCATTGGATACTGAAATAAATGTATGAATCTGGAGTTCACAGAAAAGGTTTCGATTAGATTATAATAGAGCAAAATCAACTTCCAGAGTAGAAGTGGGAGTTTTATTTTTTATTTATTTATTTATTTTTTTACCAGAACTGCTATTTTTACAAACTGAAAGTCCCTTAGAACATACACTGAAAAAAAAAATCCCAGTTATTCTCTGAGTCCTTACATAGAATTGAAGACCACCTGCCTGTTTGTCTTTGCCTGTTTCCTTTTCTTCTGTTCTTAACTCCTCTCCAGCTCCTGAATAGCAATTTTGTTTCTCTCTGCCTCATGCAACAGACTTTTCTGGATGATTCGCCCCATCCCCCGTCATGCCAAGCCTCTGCCCCACTTCATTTCTCTTTCAGTGAGTGGAGCCTCCGCCGTCTCCCAGACCTATTGTTGCCTGGACCCTCTCAAGCCTACCCCTTCCTCTCCTCCCTCCCCTCCTTTACTCCGTCCCTTTCCATGGAGCCACACTCGGGGCAAGACCATCTGCTCTGGCCTTCCGAGGGCTTCCGCACTGCTGGCAGATGCTCCCCACGTCCCCTAGAATGGTTTGTGATCTTTCTCTGTCTGGTCCCAACATGCCTTTCCAGCCTCCTCCCTCCCCACGCCAGCAGTTAACCCACGCATCCATCCAGGAGATTTCCCACACAGACTGCACATACCGCACAGGTGTGACCTGCTGGTGATGATCTGCTTTCTCTAAAATGGACTTTCCCTTCTGTCTGCACTTGCTGATCAACAAAAAGCCTGCTGGGCCTTTAAGACAGGCCTCGAACCACCTCTGCTGTGAAGCCTTCCCTTCCTCGTCAAGACCCCAAACGAGGCTCACCTCCCCGTGACCGTGCAGCGTGCTGCTGGTCCTGCCAACGGTGCCCCTCACGGAGCTGTGGTTGGTCCTGTGTTTACCTCTTCGGCCTTTCCACCCCTCCAGAGGTCCGCCTCTTGTCTCCAGGTCTTTGTATCTAACTGACCAGTTGGACACTCACCAACCTGAATGCCATGTGGTGTTCTGGAAAGCTTCCTCTGTAATTTCCAGTTCAGATCAGTTGTTCATCCTGTGCACTCCAGCCTCATCCTGTGCTTAATTCTACCACAACAAACAACGCAGTATTAAAATTGTCTGTGCAGCTTTCTCTGCAGTCTGGAAAGACCTCGAAGAGAACAGACCTGCCTTATTTACTGTGCGAGTATCCAGCTAGAGCCTGGAGCTCAGTAAATATCTGTGATTTCACTCTTTCTCTTTCTCCTTCCATCCCTTCCCCTGTCCTCCTCTCCCTTTCTTCTTTCTTTCCTTCTTTCTTTCAGCACACATCAGTACAATTCCACACAATGGAAAGAGAAGAGTAAACAAAGCAGGACATTTAGAAGGGAAAGTGGAGGAGCAAAGTGAGGAAATCTTATCAGAAAAGGGGTGATCAGCAATGTTTAATATTGTCACAGGCAAGAAATATGCAGGCAAAAAAATCCTTTACATTCTGTAACTAGGACATTGCATGGAGCTTTATATAAAGAGTGTTGGGCTGGGCGCAGTGGCTCATGCCTGTAATCCCAGCCCTCTGGGAGGCTGAGGCGGGCGGATCACCTGAGGTCAGGAGTTGTAGACAAGCCTGGTCAACATGGTGAAACCCCATCTCTACCAAAAATACAAAAATTAGCTGGGCACTGTGGCGGGTGCATGTAATCCCAGCTACTCGGGAGGCTGAGGTGAGAGAATCACTTGAACCTGGGAGGCAGAGGTTTCAGTGAGCCGAGATCACTCCATTGCACTCCAGCCTGGGCAACAAGAGCGAAACTCCATACTCCATCTCAAAAAAAAAAAAAAAAAAAAGAATGTTAACACTTCTTGCTCCTACTGTCTTACTCACTTCTTCCTTCGTCACTCATTCATTCAGTAAACATTGGATTTCTATTTCCTGCCTCCTCCAAGATTTTCTAGGCACTTGGACCTCAAAGATGAAGCTATTCTCACACTCACAGATTGTCAGGACTTTGAGGCTCTATGGGTGATGGGCCTTTACACATTGTACTGTCTCCATAAAGCCCCTCCTTAGCTTCCATTTTTTTTTCTTTTGAGATGGAGTTCCACTCTTGTTGCCCAGGCTGGAGTGCAATGAATGGCACAGTCTCGGCTCACTGCAACCTCTGCCTCCCGGGTTCAAGCGATTCTCCCGCCTCAGCCTCCTGAGTAGCTGGGATTACAGGCACACACCAATACTCCCAGCTAATTTTTGTATTTTTGTAGAGATGGGGTTTCACCATGTTGGCTATGCTGGTCTCAAACTCCTGACCTCAGGTGATCCGCCCGCCTCAGCCTCCCAAAGTGCTGGGATTACAGGCATGAGCCACCGTGCCCGGCCAAGCCCCTCTTTAGTTTCTGTGGGGACCCCTCATTCAGCCACAGACTTGCCCCTTCGATGGCCACTTCATTCTTCCATGTGCGTTTTTCCTTGTTCTCAAGTTGTCTCCTCGGCTTGAGTGTGAAAAACATTTCATACTTTTTAGTATCATCCTTAGGATAAGTCTCATATCTGTGCACTTTCATATTGATCAAAAAAATCACAAGAGGATAACTGAATGGACAACTATAAAACCTCCTGTTTCTCTATTTCATGTCAGACAACCCTAGCTCCCTTAGCTTTGCTTCCAGCTCCTTTTTCCTGATGCTTTAATCATTGCTGTTCCTCTCTTAATGTGCATCATGCACAGTATAGTTCTCTAAAATCAGGCCACTTTAAGCCATCCACAGGATTTTATGGAATACTAATCAGTGTCATGTTCCACTCAACATGCGATCGGATTTTGAGAGCAGTGAACAGGGTGTCCTCTGAGGGCCTGGGGTAATATCCCCATTCTGAATCACAGAGGCCAGCCCCGTGGGGTCAGAGGGTTGGCCTGGTTAGCCTTGTGGAGCCTGTGTTCTCCAAACAGACATTTAATTACTGTCCCCAATGAGTACCCTGATCACAATACTTATTGCTCCAATGGGGTCTGTGGGTGGGGATTGCAAAGGGGAAGGTTGCCCTGCTTAGCTCAAGGGGAGCATCTCCTGAGAAAGCTGATTCCGACAGAAGTGCAGTCAACTCAGCAAGCCTCTTCCTTCTGTCCTGTTCCTAAAACCATCTGCTCATTGCAGGAAGCGACTCCATTCCATCAGCCATACTGATGGCATTAGGTTCTCCTAAAACATCTGGGTTTTCCTTGTGGGAGAAAATCCTGCAGTGAATTTAGATGTTGGTGGTCCTCTAAGCGAGGGCCTCATTGAGTATAGGAGGGAAATTATAAATGTCAAATTATAAGTGTGCAAATTATACAAGTGCACCCCTGCTTGGCCTCGCAGGGCACCACTGGCCAGCTCCCCGCTCTCCAATTTTTCTTCTGTTGCCGTGATGGTGAATGTTAGTTGTCAACTTGATTGGATTGAAGGATGCCTAGATAGCTGGTAATGTGTGATTTCTGGGTGTGTCGGTGAAGGTGCTGCCAGAGGAGACTGACGTTTGAGTCAGTGGACTGGGAGAGGAAGACCCATCCTCAGTGTGGGTGGGCACCATCCCATCGGCTGCCAGTGCAGGCAGAACAAAGCAGGCAGAAGAAGGTAAGATAAGCTTACTCGCTGGTTCTTCTGGCTTCTTGCTTTATCCTGTGCTGGATGCTTCTTTCAGCTTCTCCTGCCCTTGGACATCAGACTCCCGGTTCCTCCGCCTTTGGACTCTGGCACTTATGCTAGTGGTTTGCCGGGGGCTCTCCAGCCTTTGGCCACAGTCTGAAGGCTGCATTGTCAGCTTCCCTGGTTTTGAGGCTTTTGGACTTGGACTGAGCCACTACCGGCTTCTCTCTTCCCGAGCTTGCAGATGGCCTATGGTGGGACTTCACCTCGTGAGCATGTGAGACAATTCTCCCTAATAAGCTCCGTTTCATATACACATACATCCCACAGATCTGTCCCTCTGGAGATTCCTGACCAATACGGTTGCCCACCCTTCTTTGTCCCTTCTTTGCCACGTTCACTTCTACGGGGCCTCACGGAACCCATGTGGCCTTGCCTTTCTGGAATCGCAGTCTCCTCCACGTGGAGATGCGTCACCTGTAGCTGATGGATAATCACTTGGAAATGCAGCTGCCCCGGACGGGAAGGGGTTGTGCATTTCTCATATTGTTCTTGGCTAGACCTGGAGAAATTTTGCTTCCTGGACAACTTAGTCATATTTTATGAAGATCATTTGTCAGTGGCTAGAAAATTGGACATGTATGATATATGGCTGGGGAGGACTAATGGGCTCTTCCTTCAACACTCTGTCAAAGTCGGGCCAGTGCCCATGGTGGAACGTGCTTTAGTAAGATGAGAGAAGGTGTTTTCATGATTAACAAGGCATGGCATTCATATTTCAAAGATCCCATGACATATCAAAACAGTCTGCTACCGTGTATTTATTTGGTGGCATGGACATGGGACACGTGGTATTTTCTCAGGGACCCTTCGGCTCTGGACCTGTGCTGTGCAGGCATCTGCCTGTACACATTGCAGCTCTTAACCTTTGCATAACAAACAGCCAATGTAAGATTAGGTTTGAGGCTGGGAGTGGTGGCACACCTCTGTGTGTGTGCTTACATAACAAACACTCAATGTAAGATTAGGTTTGAGGCTGGGAGTGGTAGCACACCTCTGTGTGTGTGCTTACATAACAAACACTCAGTGTAAGATTAGGTTTGAGGCTGGGAGTGGTGGCACACCTCTGTGTGTGTGCTTACATAACAAACATTCAATGTAAGATTAGGTTTGAGGCTGGGACTGGTGGCACACGCCTGCGGTCCCAGCTACTCCAGAGGCTGAGGTGGGAGAACGCTTAAGCTCAGGAGGTCAAGGCTGCACTGAGCCATGATTGCACCACTGCACTCCAGCCTGGGTGATAGAGTGAGACTCTGTCTAAAAAACAAAACCAAAAAAACATAAGATCGAATTTGACTCCACCCTTGTTCCCTCTGACACGTAATCTAAGATGTCAGAAGTATTTGTGTCAAAGAAGGCAAGTGGGAGAGACCGGGCCTGAGGTGATGCTCTGTTCCTTCTTTGATGACATCATTAATGAGGAGAGGGATGGCCAAAAGAATCCAAAATGAAAAGTGTGCTGATAACAAAACCAATCACAGGCACAACTAGCCTGGGATTCCAGGCCTGCCAAGGCTGCTCACTGCTGAGCCTGTGTCTGATTCTGTGTGACCAGAGCCTTGGCTGCAAATAACGACCAGCCTTTCCTCATCACCCACCAGCAGGCACCCACCACAGCCCAGTTTGAGGTCCTTTGAACTCACAGTTTTAAAAAAGGTCAGTAGTCAGGTGATATGGTTTAGCTGTGTGCCCACCCAAATCTCATCTGAATTGTAGCTCCCATAATTCCCAAGTGTCCTGGGAGGGACACAGTGGGAGGTAATCGATTCATGGGGGTGGGTCTTTCCTGTGTTGTTCTCTTGAGAATGAATAGGGCTTACAAGAGCTGATGGTTTATAAAGGGGAGTTCCCCTGCACTTGCTGTCTTTGTCTGCTGCCGTGTAAGACGTGCCTTTACTTCTCCTTTGCCTTCTGCCGTGATTGTGAGGCCTCCCCAGCCATGTGGAACTGTGAGTCCATTAAACCTCTTTCCTTTATAAATTACCCAGTCTTGGGTATGTCTTTATTAGCAGCATGAGAACAGACTGATGCATCAGGATAAGTCCACATTGCAGGCTCTTCAGGGCATGGCCCCGACTCGCTTTCCGGTCTCACTTTTGGCTTGTCCCTCATGTGTACCCTGGGCCCAGCTGTGACCTATGGAACTGTATAACTCCCCTGAATACACTGTGCTCCCACAGATTATGTGCCTGCCCACTCCATCTCCACAGGCCCAATGGAGAGGAGAGAAAGGGGTGGCAGACTCTGCCTATGCGCCCTTGTTTCTTACTCAGAGATAAAAGTTCATTCAGAAAACATCTTGAGTTCCCCCAGGCTCCGTTACTTCCTTCTTTGCTCCCATAGCATTACCTGGTGAAAAGTGCTTCTGTTGCAAAACTTATGTTCATGTGTCTGCCTCACTTCTCCATGAGGGGCTCAGTTTCTTAAGAGGAGGAACAGAAAGGCTAGGTCTGGTCTCTGCATCTCCAACCGCTAGGCCAGGCGTTATATCCTTGGTGCGTGTTTATAGAATGTGATGGTAGACATGGAGTGTGGTGGGGTGAGCAGAGCAGATGTGATTGACATTCTGGTGAAAAGGCTGAGCAAACACAGGACCCACTGCTCTGTCCCTGCACTGGGCTGCGTGCTGGAGATTCAGTGGCCACTCATGCTGCTGCTGTGTTCTTGTGGAGGTAAGAGGCAGTGGGTAGAGGAGCAACAGGTGATATGTGAATGCTCCTGACTTTGTAGGAAATGGGAAAGGGGCTGATGGGTGGGGGTGCACGTGGGTGAAGGAGGTCTGGGAAGGTGTCTCTCCTGAGAAGGCAGCAGCTGGGCTGGGAATGAAGGGTGCAATGGAGCTCACTGACAACCCAGGCACAGGTGAGAGCAGGTGCAAAGTCCCTGGAGAGAAAAGAGGCTGAAAGGCTGGAGGAAAAATTGAGACCCGTGTGGGGAGGGATGGATGAAGGTTCAGATCAGGGGCCTCCGGAAGTGAGGGAAGGAGCAACGCACTGACGCCGAGTGCTTTCAAGCAGGGGAGTGCAGAGAATGGATTTCACCTTGAAAAGTGAATGTGGACCATAACAAGTGTTGGCGAGGATGTGGAGAGAAGGGAACCCTCACACAGTGTTAGAGGGAATGTGAGTTTTACAGCCATATGGAAAATAGTGTGGAGGTTCCTTAAAAAAAATCCAAAATAGAATTACTGGATGATCCAGCAATCCCACTTCTGGGTTTAGAACCAAAGGAACTGAAATCAGCTTGTCAAAGAGACATCTGCACTCCCATGCTCACTGCAGCACTGTTCTGGATGGCCAGGATATGGAAACATTCCCTGTGCTCATCCACAGATGAATGGATAAGAAACGTGTGGTGTATGCACACAATGGAATACTATGCAGCCTTAAAAAAGCAGGAGAGTCTGTCAATTGTGACAACATGAATGAACCTGGAGGACATTGTGTTAAATGAAATAAACCAGGCACAGAAAGACAAATACCACATTATGTCACTTGTGTAGAATCTTAAAAAGTCAAAATTACAGAGGCAGAGACTAGCTCAGGGATGGTTGGGGGTGGGTTGGGGAGATGTTGGTACAAGGATATAAAATTTCATTGGACAGGAGGCATAAGTTTTTGAGATCAATTGCACAACATGGTGACTATATTTAATAATGTAAAGTATGTTTCAAAAATTGCTAAGAGAGTAGATTTTAAATATTTGTACCACACACCCACAAACATAAGTCTGTGAGGTGATATATATGTTAACTATCTTGATATAAGCATTCCATATGTGTATATGTATATCAAAACATCATGATGGACCCCATGAATATATGCAATTATTATTTGTCAGTTTTAAACATTTTTTTTAAATGAACATGGAGGTTGGGGAACCTTACCAGGGTTCTTTTGGTCTCTGCCTTGCCTGGGGCCCAGAAGTGGTGGTGAGGGGTTGCTCCCTACTCTGGAGCTCTGGATGCTGATCAGAGACCCTCCATGCCTGGTGACATCTCAGACTCAGTGAACAGCCTCAGGGGCCCTTCACAAAACTGGGCTGTCAGGGCCACCTGGAGCTCAGAGTGGTAATTTGGTTTCATTTGAACTTCAATTTTCGTTGCTTTGAAATCTCATTCAGTTGAATTTAATAACAAATAAATAATTCATGGGGACTGGACAATGAAAGGAAAATTTAAAAATGTGTTCACCCAAATATATAAAGGGGCACCTTGTCCCTCAGCCCTGTTCTCTACCTTCTTTTCTCAGCTGGCTTCTGGGCAGATTCATGGGGCCAAAGGATGATGCATTAACTCTCTCAGGGTGCTGAGGGTTCTCTCATCATGAGACTTCTGTGGGTTAGGGACTGGGCAAGAGGTGAGCAAGTATCCCACCTCTGGCAGGCCAGCCTCTCAGCCACCAATTTGCTAAGTGGCCCAACGGTCATCTCTGAGCCTTCTTTCCTTGCTTGTAAAATGCAGAAATCTTTAGTAAACCAATTGATGTAGGCAAATGTCATGAATGGATACACAGTCATCTCAGGGAATTTACATGGTGCTAAAGTATCACTCCAGGGATCATCTGCTGGTTGCAAGGGGAGAAATGTGACTTTATCCTGGAGAACACCGATGCTCTCCGCCTTATCAATTCCTGCATCCCTAACACTGGGACAAGCAGATATCCTTCCATGCCCCATGCGGTGCTTAGCATCACCTGTGAGGTAATGCCAGAAATGTGTGAGCTGAACTTAATCAAGCTCTTAGGTCTAACTTTCAGTGCGTAACTAATACAGGCTGCAGAGCGTCCAGCTAATGCACACCAGGAGGAAACAGCCAGACAAATCCAGAAGGTGGAAACGTGGAGGCAACAACTCGCCCATTCCTTCCAGCAAGCCAGCAATGTGCGGTGGGCTGGGGAGCCACTGGGGCAGACACGTTCTAAGTTGAAATATACGTTACCACCAACCAAGGGCAATTCCTGGGCCTTGGCTAAATCCTTACCTATACAAACCAGCTATACCAGTCATTTTAGAGTAATTGGGGAAGTTATTACATGAGATTAGAAAATTGTATTCAGTTTTTAAGTGTGAAAATGTTCTTTTTCTTTTTTAAAAAAGCTTTTATTTTAGGTTCAGGGGCACATGTGCAGGTTTGTTATATAGATAAGCTTATGTCATGGGGGTTTGTTGAACAGATTCTTCTTAATTATACAGGAAAACGTCTAGAACTTGTGGTCTCTCTTCTTTAGCGTTGCTCACTGAGATTTTTTAAAAAGATGCATCCTGAATGATTTCGAGGCATGATGTTTTGGTACCTGTATGCAATTGAAATAATTTTTAAAATAGATATGGAGAAAATATGAAAACTAACAATTTTCAAAATTTTAATGAGGAGCATATGAAAATTATACTCTAGTATGCTGTTACTTTTCTTTTCTTTTTTTATTTTTTATTTTTTCTTTTTTGAGACAGTCTTGCTCTGTCGCCCAGGCTGGACTGCTGTGGCACAATCTCAGTTCATTGCAACCTCTGCCTCCCAGGTTCAAGTGATTTTCCTGTCTCAGCCTCCTGAGTAGCTGGGATTATGGGGCACCCACCACCATGCCCAGCTAATTTTTGTATTTTTAGTAGAGATAGGGTTTCACCATGTTGGCCAGGCTGGTCTGGAACTCCTGACCTCAAGTGATCCACCCGCCTCAGCCTCCCAAAATGCTGGGATTACAGGCGTGAGCCACAGCGCCTGGCCGCTGTTAATTTTCTAATCTTTAAAAATAATAATAGTTTTTTAAAAAGCTGCTCACAAAGATTTTATTGATGATGTGTGCATTTTTTTTTCCTCTGGTAGGACATAATTCTCCCTGAGAAGGGGAAAGACAGTAAGAATTTTGTGAGTTGCATAATAGTCCATTGATTACCCTTTGTCCCCCAGTGGAGGGCACTAAACCCCTGAAGAAGCAGGCCCCTGTGTGGGCGTGTTATGATTGTAGAACAAGGAGAGGGGACCCTCCAGTACTCAGTGTCTTTAGTGGGTGGGGCGGGGGCTTCAAGGCAGTAGCCTCAGATACCTGCGGGGCCCATGCAGGGAACCCTAATTGGGGTGCAGGGTGGGGGAGCAACAGAATGCAAAATAGCTCTTAGTACCTTACCTAAATATTGGTTGCTAGATTTTTTCATTGACTGGAAGCTTTCATTTGGCTCTGGATAGAAGTGTGGGCAGTCACACAAGTCAAGGTAAGAGGGGTGGAAACTGGTTTTTGCTGGTGCTTCCTAACATTTGTCAACTGTGGCTTTCAGGCTACCAATGGGTGGGGAGTTTTGTGCGAGAAAATGGGCCAGATTTGCATCCTGGTGTTCTCCAAATGATGTTAAATGCAGAAACATTCAATGCAATGAGTTTGTTCAATTCCATCCAACTAAAAATTGTGTTTGTGCTATTAGTGCCTACCCTCTGATCAGTCTTGTACTAGGTAGGAAACATGGTGCTTACCCTTTACTAAGGAGTTGTGTTACACGAAACAGAAAACACTATGACTGAATCAAAAAGAAGCATCACTCTGCTTGGGTAGTCAGGGAAGAATCTTGATTTCCCCTGGAATCTGGTACTTACCTCGCGGTGAATACACAATAACAGCCAGAGTTTTAAAATAGACAAGAAGGACAGAAATCAGAGAGAAACACACAGACACATCAGACCCCTTATCATAAGGTACAAACAGTAGAGCAGAAGGGAGACCACAAACTTCCATTCTTTATGGGATGAGCGAGAAAGGGGATGGAGGCTTTGGCAATGTTGAGTGGGTTTTCCACAGGAACAGCCAGCCCCAACTGATGTGTAGTGATTTCCTAGGAAGTTTGCAAACCTCATCCCACCAAGAGGAAATGGGTCGGGAGTTCTCCATCATCTGGAGGTCACAGAGCAGACAGACCATGGCCCAGGACAAGATCTAGAAGTTGTTATTTTATTCAAAGTCAGAAAACCTTCCAGGGTCTGGGGATCAGTGTCTGGATAGAAGAGAAAATACAAGAGAAAGCAAGAGGTTAATGTGGGCTGAAGGCTTAGAATGAGCAGTTTTAGGATAAAGGATAGTTAGGAAAGGATGGGGGATGGAGAGGAGGGTGCATGTGAGGCAGGACAAACCAAAGAGAAAGACCTGAATGTATCTGCTATGTCTGTGGGACATAGGGAGGTTCTGTTCATTCTGAATGGGGACTTCGAGCTCAAGCCTAAAAATGCATCCTTTCAAATGGGTACAGAAAGAAGGGCTTTGACAAGTACCATGGGCTGTGCTTGATTGAAAGGACAGACACATTCAGTTGTTGTTATTTGTGATTATTGTCAGCTCCATCATTGATGGCACTGTGCATTTTTTGAAGTAGGTCTCTCCCATCAAACTGCCAGGATTCCAGTGATCAGAGAGCACGTGTTCAGTAGCACAAGCTGGATTGGGTGGTGCCCACTCCCGGCTCGACCACTTAGCTCTGTGGTGCCTTGGTATCCTCATCTGTAATGTGGGGATAATAATGGTGTCTGTCTCATAAGAATGTTTTGAGAAACAAATGAGAAAACCCAAGTCAAGCTCTTCTAGAAGTGCATGGCAGATAGTAAACAGTCAATCAACATTATCAGTCCTATCACCGGTGTGGGTACTGTTGAGATACCTGTGAGAGTAAATCATGATTTATGCAAATGGTTAATGGAAAATATTTATTTTAGTTATTTTCTTATCTGGGTAGTGCCAGATGGGATAATAAAAATGAAAACAGGCAGGGTTTCGTGTGTGTGTGTGTGTGTGTGTGTGTGTGTGTGTGTGTGTGTGTGTGTTGCTTTGTTTGCAAGCATGATTTAGTTGAAATTAGATGTCTCTTCTGATCTATAATCTCTTTGTCTTCAGACTGGAACCTGAAATCCCATCTGAATATGACTGAAGAAAATCTGCACACAGTGTCTTGATGGGAGGATATGACTAACTCTTAGATTGGAATTGTGTTGGTGCGTAGGCAGGTTCTATTATTAGTGGTAATGTTACCACATTATTAAAATATTTTTAGGCATAAGGCAGGATTCTTTCCTTCACAGATAAATGGTGAAACACACATATTCCTAATTTTTAAATTTTGATCAAAATTTTATTAAGGCCAAAATGGGCAGAGACTGGGTAACAGAAGCGACATTTTCCAATTTGCCCTCCTTTACTCCCCCAGATTCTCCTTACATGTTGGCTGGAGTGGATCACGAAGGGTAGGAAGCTGAGAAAGGTGGAATAATTGGAATGTCCTGCAACTCTGAAGCCAAACAAACTTAGGTTTTGGATGACGTGGACAGTGGATATCATATCACCTGTTATGGTGAAACCATCACCAATACTTACTTTACAATTCCCATCACACACCCCAGTGACTTTCTGTGAAAGAGAGATCAGATATCTACTGTATTTAGATCAACTATTACATTATCAACAGTGGAGGAATAAGGAAATCTAGGATGCTGTTTAGTAGCAAGGAATGCATCAACAATAGATAAAACGTGGCCAGGCATGGTGGCTCACACCTTTAATCCCAGTATTTTGGGAGGCTGAGGCGGGTGGATCATTTGAGGCCAGAAGTTCGAGACCAGCCTGGCCAACATGGTGAAACCCCGTCTCTACTAAAAATACAAATATTAGCCAGGTGTGGTGGCGCATGCCTGTAACCCCGGCTCCTCAGGAGGCTGAGGCAGGAGACTTGCTTGAATCCAGGAGGCAGAGGTTGCAGTGAGCTGAGATTATGCTGCTGCACTCCTGCCTGGGCAACAGAGTGAAACTCCATCTCAAAAAAAGAAAAAAAAAAAAGGAATCCCTCAGTAGGTACTAAATAAAACAGGGAAAAAAACATAACTAAACATAGCTACAAACTTTCTTTTCTTTCTTTCTTTTTTTTGTGATAAGAACACTTAACATGAGATCTACTCTCTCCATAAATGTTTAAGTCTTGTTAACTGAAAGCACAGTAGGATACAGCAAATATCTAGAACTTATTTCATTTTGCACAACTGAAACTTTGTACCCATGGAACGCCTCCCATTTCCCCTTATCCCAAGCCCCTGGCAAGCACCTCTCTACTCTCTGTACAAGTCTGCCTGCTTTAGGAAGTGGAACCATGTAGGGTTTATCCTTCTGTGATTGGTTCATTTCACTTACCATAACATCCTGTAGGTTCAGTCATGTTTTTGCATATGGCAGGATTTTCTGCTGTATTAAGGCTAAATAATATTTGATGGTATATATGTGCCACATTTTCTTTATCCATTCATCTGTCAATGAGCATTTAGATGGTTTCCACATTTGGGCTATTATGAATAATGCTGCAATGAACATGGAAGTGCAGATAGTTCTTTGAGGTCCTGATTTTAATTATTTTGGATACGTACCTGGAAATGAGATTGTTGGATTATATGGTGGTTCTATTTTTAGTGTTTTCAGGAAGCCTCATACTCTATTCCAAAGTGGCTACACCATTTTGCATTCCCCCCCAATAATGTACAAGGATTCTGATTTCTACACATCCTTGTCAACATTTGTTTTCCTACATATATATATATATACACACACACACATACACACAACACACACACCTACATACATATAGATATATAATAGCAATCCTAATAGGTGTGAGGTGATACCTCTTTGTGGTTTTGATTTCATTTCCCTGATGGTTAATGATGTTGAACATCTTTTTATGTGCCTGTTGGCCATTTGTATGTTTTCTTTGAAGAAATGCCTTTTCAAGATTTTTGCTTTTGTTTCTTGTGCTTTTGGTGTCATATCCAAGAAGTCATTGCCTGGGCCAATGTCATGAAGCATTTCCCCCATGCCTTCTTTTGGGAGTTTTACAATGTCAGGTGTTATGTTTAAGTCTTTAATATATTTTGAGTTGTTTTTTATGTACAGCATAAGGTAAGAGTTCAGTTCTCTTGTATGGATATCCAGTTTTCCCAGCACCATTTTTGGAAGAGACTGTTATTTTCCCATCGTGTATTATTGGCACTAACTATAATGGTGAAAAGTTAAACGCTTTTCCTTTAAGATCAGGAACAAGACAAGGACGCCCACACTCACTGCTTCTATTCAGCATAGTAGTGGAAGTCCTTGCCAGGGCAATTAGGCAAGAGAAAGAAACTAAAGGCATCTAAATGAGAAAAAGATAAAATTATCTCTGTTTGCGGATGACATGATCTTATGTGTAGACAACCCAAACTTTCTTATCTTCACAGAATATTTTGCAAGAGTTGAGCTCCTAGAAAATGAGCTTAGATCATTTCTCCCCTCTGGCCAGTAACAAGATGCTCCTACACTGAGCTTCATTTAGCACAGCCCTGGACACACCACCAGGCACTCAGCAAACATCAGACAATTTCCAGTTCAATGGAAAATTCTCAGTTATCCATGGCAGAATCATGGCCCTGTCATGCACTGGCTGAGTTTCCTTGAGGAAGCTGCTTAAGCTTTCTGACTCTTGGTTTTGTTATCTGCAAAAGGGGAATAGCAGTGTCTATACCACAGGGATAATATGAAGGCTAAATGAGATCCTGTAAAGCAATCTTTCCAAGTCCTGAGCTTGACACAATAATAAAAACTAACCTTTATTTAATTATTGAGGTAGAGGAAGGAGGATAAAGAACAGGACCAAAGAACAGAAGTTATTTCCCAGTGAACTTAAACAATTCATGAGTTTTCTCATCTCAAGCAGGAGGGCCTTAACTGCATTGTCTCATGCCTTTAACCAGTGAGAGTCAGAGAGAGCTAAGGCACATCCAACTCCATTGCTCAACTCCCAGGCACCCAGCAGCAGGTATAGAGCGTTGGGAGCTGCACTCTCCATACTGATGTTATAATTAATCTTCCACCTCAGTCAACCGATCATAGAGTTCCACTTTTGGAAGTGTTCCAACCTGCACCCAGGAGGCTTCTGCAGTCTTTTTTGCTGCCAGAATGTCCGCCCTGATTTACACCTGACTTCGGCAACATCTGAGCATTCATATCTGTGCTACATGCTGGCTGTAGCCATGGGTCTCATTCTAAAACATCCTTGCCTTCAAATACAGGCATGAGGCAGCAGTGGAGGAAGGAGAGGTAAGAAACTATTCATCGGCCGATGTTCTGTGCTGCTGCCTCATGGGCATGCTGACGGCAAGAGTTATGAGGTGTAAACCTGGGTTCACATCTTGTTTTCTTCTCCAGGTGAGGGTACTTCATAGAGCTCAGAAGAAACTCAAGGACCAGCTCTCTCGGGCTGCCCCTGTAATATGGCCCACTGAGGGCAGGTTCCTGGCTGCCCTTGGAACAGTGCTGCGGTCATCAGATGGTGTGAAAGACAAATGCCTTTGTGCCCTCAAAGGCAACCAGTATATATGGGAGGTGCTGTCCCCCCCTTCTGCCACTCATCAGCTCATGGTAAACAGAGGCCACTTAGGCACCACTCAAGGCATTGACCAGTCTGAGTCCTAATTATAGGGTCCTACTTATAGCCATTATGAACCTCAAAGCCAAACAACAATGAATTTTGTCAAAGGACTCCTCCTGGCTTTAGTTGAACAGAATCATCAGACTAGGAAGCCATTAGTGACCTTCGTGAGTTTCCAGATCTTCATTCTCATGGCTCTTATCAGAGATTTGGTCTGAGGTGATAGTGTTATAGGGCCCTGATGCAAAAAGCCCAGTGCAGATTGGCTCACTTGCTGCTGCATCTTGATTGTCCATGGGTGGGGTCTACTCCTGAGGTCTTGGGATTGAAAAAGTTCACACGGACTGTAAATCCTGCCATTGCTACCGATGACACTTGTACTTGTTGCGGTGTGTCCATTGTAGTGGGAAGAGCTCTGCTCTTAGAGTGTTATACAGCCTATAGGGTTTGGATTCTTCACATTTGGTTGGTTGACTTTGAGTCTCAGCACTTTCAATTGTAAGGTGGGGACACTACAAACTTACAGAAGTTATTGTGAATACACAACCATCCAAGTAATTACACCTGCAGAGCTGACCAGTTTACTTTCTTGCTTGCTGTCTGGTAAAACTCTTGCCAATCATAGACAAACGATCAATGCATAAGGTAACCTCATTTGAGAGTTCAAGTTCTGAACAGAAGAAAAGGATCTCATTCCTGTTATGAACAGCTTAGTTATAAAGTCAAATGTAAAATCAAATATGTGTTTCTGTGGCAAATGGTTAAATTCTTACCTTTTACAAAACATTCAGTAGTCACAAGGTCTTTACACACTCACTGCTTATCCATCATATTTATATATGGTGTGCCTGTTAGGTAAGACATACACACTTTGGTTAGTTACTTGAATAGATCATAAAATTAAGTCTAGGACTATGTTTTCTGCTTTATTTAAATTTTCTCATCCAAGGAAAAATTTCATGAAGAGTGGTTGAATGAATGAATGAATGAATGAATGGACATTTACTGTCTTGAATAAAACCTTTTTATATAATTTAGCTTGTTTTGCAAAAGAATGAAACACTAGCTTCAAACTCTTTATTTTTCATTGATCTTTAGAAATCAGGGTCCCTCTTTTGAATACACCCCTTGTTCAAGGAAAGGAACCATTTATGTTCTGTCCTTGATTACTGCACAATGGCTTTTACTACATTTGATTTGCAGCAGTTCATTTGTGATTAAATTTTCTAATTCTCCCAGAAAGTCATTGAACAAGCAAACAGTTTACTTTCCCCAATAAAACAAAGCCTAAAGTATTTGGTCTTTAATAAATGCTCAAAAATTATTTTCTCAGTGTGTGTTCAAGATATAAATATCCCTTCATCTCAACCCTCTTTTACATATTTGACCAATCTACCTTTATAGAGTAGTTGTTTCTCCTTATGTCATTTCTGATCTATCTTTCTTGAATTCTTCTTTGCTTAGTTTTTAATCAAGCCAAATGTTTGTTTAATCAGATACCTCAATTAGTCAAGACCTGTCTCTTTTATCAGAAAGTGAATTTAGAGAACAATTCTAAAACATAGGGTAATACAAATTTTTTAAAAGAAAACCAAATTCTAAGCTCAGCTTGGTCCCAGGGCAAATTCACTCCTCATTCTTAATTCTTCTCCATTTCTGGTCACGGGAGGGGCACCCCCAAAATGCTGACCCTAGGACTCCCCAAGATCCTCCAGCATCCAAAAGGCCTCTCTTCTCCAGTCTTTACTTTCTATGGGAACAGGTTGAAACCCCTGGGAATGAATACATTCTCAACTAAAAATACAAATTAAAAGAATTTCTTGCTTAGACTATCAGAAACTTGATCTAGTGCACATATTTCCCAAGCATTTCATTTACTAGATCTGATTAAGACACTCTGTTATTGTATCATTTAAATTTTTAAATTTTATTATTTAAATTTTAAATACAAGTTTTAAAGGATGGTTACAAATTAGTAACTCAAAATAATTGAGTGGAAAGATCAAGGTACAAGACACTCTGCCTTTACCTTCAAAGTCTGAGCAAATATGATTTTATATCTTTTTAATTAGAGATTCTTTTAAAGACCAAGTTACTGCAGTCCTGTCTTGTTCTTCTCCTATTTTATATTGATGTGCTCAGTACCTTGGTGTCTTTGTCTGTCTTTTAGGGGGAAGGGAATACACGTTTTGGACTAGAGTAGCACAGATGCCATTCTTACCTCACTGTAGGTTTCTTTAAAGAATGTTTAGTCCTGACAATGCGATGCAGATTTCTTTCTCTCCCCACTCTATCTTTTGCAGAGCTTTATCCCTTTTTCATTGTTCAGCATAACTGGGAACCTGCCAGCTCGCCACAATGACACATAATGATTTTTGCAAAGTGTGTGTCAAATGTCCTGAGCTTAGAAGAGATTCATCGTAGAGACTGCTGCTTAATGAGTGTAAATTAACTGATCATTTGCTAAATCTGATGTGCCCAGTGGTGTGGACGGGAGAATGCTGGATAGGATGTAGGAGATGCAGGTGAGCAGACGGGTAGCAGAGACACATACCGTGTTTCTGAGCGAGGACTGTAGCATGGCCAGAAGGCTGTTCTGATGTAGAGAGGGATTTTCCGCTCACGGTAGGACCCAGTACCGTGAGACTGAGGACTGAAACACAAAGTTAACACAGATCTCCCGAACAGTCCGCTTTAGGGCTGGAGCCTGCTGGGATCAGTCCTCTTGAGAAGAACAACAATCTGGTTGAGATTGAACTTGCCAAAGACAATGAGACTAAACAAGAGACGCCTGCTGGTAAACATCAGGGCTGTTGTGTGGAAGCTGAGGGAGGAAGAAAACACAAAAGCTGTGCATGATGATAAGGCTAGTGGGCCTAGTGTTACCAGTACCACAGATCTACAGCTCCTCCTAGAGGCAGGGCACATTCAGAATAAGCAACAGGGAGCTGCATGTCATGTAGTCAAGCAACTGTATATTTCTTCTTCATTCATTTCTGGGACATACATATGAAATATCTTCAGCTTCATATCTGAGATGGCAGGAACATGACAACATATTAGCTTTTAGGTAGACACCCGTAGGTCTTAGGATGTGGTGGAAAATTGGGTGTCATTTTTTCCAGATAATCACTGGCATTTTTATAAAACATGAAGCCCTTCCTAAAGTCTGTGCTTCCCAGATAGTAGTGAGGAGAAATAGGCTTGTGGAGACCATAAGGGTTTATTTTGGAGTGGGTCTTGTGAATTTGACAGTTTAATAGTCACGTGGACGCACACTGTTGTTTGCAGGAGGGGCCATGAACCCCTGCCCTGAATGAAAGGGAAATACTTATGTCCATGGTAACCAGGGCCAGTGGCAGCCAGGAAGCCAAGACCTGGCCTCCGCTGCCACTGCTCATACAAACCAACTAAACATGTGTACATCACGTATGGGATATAGGAGAAGCACATCTGAAGGGCTATGGCAGAAGTGGAAAGAAGGCAAAACTCTTCCACACAGGCAACCCGTGCTTTCCAGACAAATCTCACAACATCAAACTAGAAGTATTCATGCCACCCCCTACCCCTGCCAACTAGAACTGGCTGTCTGTGTCAGGTCGTCATCTTATCTTAGAACACATCCATTGATACATACACTGTTTCTTCTTCCCTATTACCTCTGATTCTGCTTCTCTAAAATAAAAGCTGACCGACTGGTTGGAATAATAATACATATACCACCTGGCATTTTACAGTTTTACATCATCTCAGGTGATACAACCAGGCTATGATGCAGTCATGTCACCATACTCTTTACCAGATGAGCAGATGAGATGCAAACTCAGAAATATTAGGAAATGTAGCTGTGATGGATTGGGCTATAATCAACTTGTGATGTGGGAGTTTCTCAGAATCTCTTTCCCTATATACATATGGTTCCGAGCTAGAGCTGGCCACAGTGAAGCCATGAGACCTGGGAGGTGAATGAAGGAGGGGCCATTATGCTCTGGAGGTTTTCATCGTGTAACTGAACAGAGGTCCGGATGCTCACCGCCTGCAGAATCCAGTTAACAAGAATGAGTTCTGGTAGAAAGAAAGTGACTTTATTCACTCAAACTAATAAAGAACAAGTGGCCGGGTTCCCATCCAAAGCAACCACTTCAATTTGGCAGAGAGGAAGACAGGGGTTTAAAAAAGGAAAACTTGATGTGAAAAGCTTGCAAGAATTGTGCTGAGTACAACGTCTGTGTACCTTGTTCTGGTGGCTATCTTGGGTCCCAGTTTACCTGGATCACGGGCTGGTGTCATCTCAACAATGGTGAGGCTGTTGACTCGCCACCTTGAAGTCATCTCTGGAACTTTGCAGGTGGGTCTCCAGACTTGGTTCATCTGTCTCAAGATTACCCCCAGGAGCTTCTAAAAAGGGACATAATTAGATGCTAGCATACAGGTAGATGAATGTGAAGGGAGTATAGATGGTGAGAAAGGGAGGGATGTGGAGTTCATTTTAAGACAAAGAGGGAAAGGCTTCTGCAATTTGCTTCAAGGTTATATCTTGAAACGCACGAGAAATAAGTAAAAAGTTTAAAATGCATTTTGCAGTTAAACTGCCCAGTTACAATTGGTCAGAAGTGGTGAGAGACACAGTGGAGCTGACACAGGGTGCAAGTTTGTCTTCACTCTTCCTTACCCCTGTCTTTATTTCCCGATTTCCAGCCCTGCTGACTTGCAGTGAGTCCAGGGCCACCATGCGATGCTGTACCCCACTCGACAGACCTTTACTTCCATAGCACCTCACACCATTCCTGTAAAAGGTTGTTACTCTATAATATTCCAAATATTGAGAGTTTCACTCTCAAGTTTGAACTCTGACTGACACATTACCTGTGGTCTCCAGGTGGGAGGTGATGTGTTTTTTACACTTTATAATTTTTTTTTACTTTTATCATTCACTATACTTGACTGTGTTATGATTTCTATATTCGTCATTCTTCCTGCATCATTTTCTCTCTCTCTTTTTTTTTTTTTTTCTGAGACAGAGTCTCGCTCTGTCGCCCAGGCTGGAGTGCAGTGGTGCGATCTCAGCTCACTGCAAGCTCCCTCTCATGGGTTCACGCCATTCTCCCGCCTCAGCCTCCTGAGTAGCTGGGAATACAGGTGTCTGCCACCATGCCCAGCTAATTTTTTGTATTTTTAGTAGAGACGGGGTTTCACCATGTTAGCCAGGATGGTCTTGATCTCCTGACCTCGTGATCCGCCCGCCTCAGCCTCCCAAAGTGCTGGGATTACAGGCTTGAGCCACCGCGCCCGGCCATCTATGTTCATTTTCAAAGGGGTCTTCCTTAATGATAGTGCCCTTGAACCAAAAATTAAAGAGTTGATTAAAGTAGTAGAAAATGGTCATCTATACAAGTTTCATGATTTATAAGAACTATGGAAATTGCTCCTTAGAAAATAGCTTTCTAAACATGAAAATACACTTGATTAGAAACAGTACACATGAGGAACTCTGGTTTCATGCAAAGTTGAAGGAAATTCTTGTGAAATTAAAAATGCACCCAGAACAGTTGATGAAGTCTAGTCCAACGAAAGGGTTTTCAACTCTGTTTGATTTCCATCTTGTCAAATAATCAACTTTTGGTTTTGGTGAATGAAATGGTTTGGCTGTTTCCCCACCCAGATCTCACTTTGAATTGTAATAATCCCCACAGGTCAAGGGCAGGACCAGGTGGAGACAATTGAATCCTGGGGCTGGTTTCCCCCATGCTGTTCTTGTGACAATGAGTTCTCAGGAGAGCTGATGGTTTTCTAAGGGGCTTTCCCCTTTGCTCGACTCTCATTCCCTCTCCTGCTGCTCTGTGAAGGGGCGCCTTCCTCCATAACTGTAAGTTTCCTGAGTCCCTCCCAGCCATGTGGAACTGTGAGTCTGTTAAACCCGTTTTCTTTATAAATTAACCAGTATCAGGTATTTCTTCATAGCAGCATGAGAACGGACTAATCCGGTAATATTCTCCACTGTTTTTCTGTTCTCTATGTTATTTAGTTCTGCTCTATTATTTATTGTTTCCTTCCTTCTGCTTGCTTTGGGTTTAGCTTGCTCTTCTTTTGCTAGTTTCGTAAGGCAGAGTGTAGTTTGTGGATTCAAGATCTTTCTTCTTTCTTAATATAAATGTTTACGGCTATAATTTTCCTTCCAATTACTCTTTTTATTGCATTCCCTAAGTTCTGCTATGTTGTGTGGTATTTTTGTTTTTACTCAGCTCAAAGTATTTTTGTGTTTCCCTTGTGGTTTCCTCCTTAATACTTTGGTAATTTATCAGGGTGTTTAATTTCCAAATATTCTTGTGTATTTTCCAGTTTTCCATCTGTTATTGATTTCTAAATTCATTCTGTTGTGATCAGAAAAGACACTTTGTGTGAGTTGATTTCAACCTTTTAAAAATTATGAAGACTTGTTTTGTGACCTCACATACAGTCTATTTTAGAGAATGTTTCAGGTGCACTGGGGGGACATGTGTATTCTGCTGGGCTTGGCGGAGTCTAATAATCCCTAATATACCTCGCTTCTAATGTAGGTGTTCCCGCCAGAGCATGCCAGTGTCGTGTCCACAATAACAAACAAAAATTCATTGTTTTCTTTTTCTAAGGCCATATTGTAGATTCCCAGTTCAACTATAATATATATTATTTTAGCTGTCTATTTAAAGTGTCACATCATCCTAGGGACCTTTCAACGGACTGACTACATTTCTCACAATTATAGTAATTACTGAAAATAAACACATGAGACTATTCTCTTCAACTAAAATATCTTATTTTACATTTAGTACAATTTAGAAATTTGCATGTAAAGCTAAGGAAGGACACAGCTTTAGAAACAATGGACTCATTTCTCTCCAGACCTATGTGAAAGTTGGTTTGACAGTAATTACCTTATGGGAGCCCAAAGGTATAAAATAAGGATGAGGAATGATTGTTCCCATCACAGACGGATCACCACATCATCCCCTGTGCATTTGCATGTTGTGTACTGATCAGAGGTGGTGGTGGCGTGGTGTGGAGGGGCAGCAGTGGTGACGTGGAAATGTAAAGAATTTCGGGTACTGAGGATCCAGTTAAAAATCACACTGGAAAGAGAACCAAATATAGTCAAGGAAAGAAGAAGTGGCCTACAAACCTGTGATATGATCTTGAAATGACTTATTTTAACAAGCATACCTCCCATCTATTATATAAAATAAACCTAAGTTACTAGAAAGAGATGGGAGTTAAATTCCCTATCACTTACTAGCTGAGTGACTTTGAGCCTGTTTCCTAGTCTCTGTGAGCTTGTGTTTCTTCATGTGGGTAATAGAAGTCATAATAATACTCACTTTAGCAATTTGCTGTAATAATTGGCAACAATATCTTGAAGCACAGATTATAATGTCCAGTATGTAATAGCCCTCTTGTATGTCGCTGTATTCTTTCTACTGTCCATAGTTCTTTAGGTTATTAGACTGACTTATGAACTTTGAGCGCTGGTCATCAGACCTACTTCACATGGAGCCTCGAGACCCCTCCCTCGAATTATCAGACCCTTCCCCCTCTGGCCATCATCCTCCTCCCTCTGATCATCACTGTGCGCCCTTTGACCATCAACCTCTTCCCTCTGGCATCAGACTCTCCTCCCTCTGCCCATCCTCCTCCTCCCTCTGACCATCAGGCCCGCCTTACTTCCTCATACCAGCAGCCGTGGAGTGGATCTTCAACAAGCAGCCAACAGCAGCCAGGGACAGATCCTCGGGCACTGTTTTTCTGTCCGAAAAATCAGAATCGTATCAAAGGGTCGGACACCTGGACTGGCAAGACACGTTGGGGTTATTTATAACAGGGGAAAATGAGGTCTCCAGGGAAACAAACCGTAATAAAGAATATGAACTCCCGCAGACCGAATTGCCTTCAACGATCCTCAAAGACTTTTGTGTTTGACCAATATCAATTAATTACATCAGTAAATAACTGCCTGAGCCTTGTACTTCTGTCCTCCCAAGATCCGGAATGACTTCTGCTTTCAAAATGAATTTCAGGGCTTTCTTTGAAGCAGTCTTGTAAAGTTGTTATATTTAGTTTAAATTCAATTAAAGCTCAATCTGAAAGCTCTTTCTGAAGCATTTGATCCACATTTACATGAAGGTATTTGCTCTTAAAATTGTTAGGGGTATAGCTCATTTCTAGTAATAATAAGTGGTATTTCATAAACCAGGATACATGATCATTTACTTCCTGATAGCTTGCTTCTCCCAGATCTAATTCTATTCTTCCTTGAGGGCTGTTGGTGCCAGTGCCAGGGCTGCAAACATCAGGGTTAGACTGGAGAGTGACCCGTGTGCTCCTTCACCCCCGGGTGGGGCCTCTGTGCTTATCAGTAGGCTAGCACCAGGTGCAGGAGACAGATGTGCCGCCTGCTCACAGGGCTTACCTGGGACAAATGTGCCGCTCGCTCATGGGGCTTACCTGGGGACAGTTGTGCTGCCCGCTCGTGGGGCTTACCTGGGGACACTCACTATGATTACCTGGGACAGATGTGCCGCCCGCTCACTATGATTACATGGGACAGACATGCTGCCCATGCACGGGGCTTACCTGGGACAGGCGTGCCACCCACTCACTATAATTACCTGGGACAGACATGCTGCCCACTCACTATGATTACATGGGGACAGACATGCCGCCCACGCACGGGGCTTACCTGGGATAGATGTGCCACCCACTCACTATGATTACCTGGGGACAGATGTGCTGTCTGCTCACAGGGCTTACCTGGGAATGAAGTTCCACTCCTCCACTTGCTTAGTTCTTGTTTATTTGTCTCTCCCACCATTTCAAGTCTTTGCTGTCATCATGAAGAAATATGCAGGGTGCTGGCTGTGCAGTGATGAGCTGGGAGAAAATGATCTTTGACAGAGCTGGTAGTTAAGGAAGAATCCCTTGGCTGAAGCAGAGTGTAAGGGATGAGAAGCCAAATGGGTGGAGAGCGGGAGCAGGGGAGGAGGGTGAGAGCATGAGAGGGACACTGCATCTCCAGAGGCTGGAGAGGGGCAGGGGTGCAGCTTGTCATGGGACATGTAAGAGGGCCAGGGACTGATGCAGAGAGGGACAGGAAGCAGCCTGCACCAGCACTGTGGGAGCAGGCAGATGGGAACGTGGACAGGGAGTTAGTGTTTTCTTCTAAATGCCATGGAAGACATTGATGTGTTTTAAACAGTGCAGATAGAAAGCAGTAAATGGTTTCAAAAATATCCCAAACAATACAATATGTAGAATTTCCTGATGGATTTGACTTGCAAACAGAGTGGAAGAAAGAAGTATGATGGCATCTATGCTTTGTGCTTTTTGAGCAATTGGTTGAATATGGACGCCATTTTCTGTCACTGAGAAGACTCAGGGAAGGGCGGGAGGATGGGGGTAAGTGTGCAGGGCCGGTGAAGCTGGGAGATCCGTGAGATGCCCAAGTGGCAACGTCAGCTCTGAGGAAATGACACTCAGAGAAATGGCCTGGACTAGAAATAAAATGTGGGAGTAGTTAGCACACAGATTGTGTTCCGAACCTGGAAATGAATGACCATACCTAGGAAGAAAAAGCAGGAAAAGAGAGGAGAGGGCCCTTAGAGATCCCAACAGAGGGGGCTGAGGTGTGTGTGTGGTGAGTTGGAGGACAGCCAGAAGAAAAGATGACGTTCCAACAGCTGAGATGCAGTCAGGGCGCAGCCCATTGGTGTGCAGTGTGGAGGTCTTTGGAGACATCACTAGGAACCGTTTACTAAAATATCACTAGGAGCAGTGCCTGTAGAAACCAGATCAGGGCACACGAAAGGGTAAATGGGAGACGAGGGAGACATGACACTCCACTGTGTGGACTCAGAAACCTTTCTGCAAAGAGAAGCCAGGAACACAGCAGGATGCAAACTAAGACGTGAAAACTCATTCTTCGAAGTCCTTTCAGAATCCTACCTGCTTCTGTTTATATACCGCCTACATTTCTGAAAATTCTAGTGTAAAACAAACATGTATATATTAAATTATGTTCCTTTTACTTTTATTAAATAAAAAGTAGTCGCATTAGAGAAGAGCAAAGCTAAGAAACCTAATGAAATGATGTGTAAGGATCCTAACATGACCACTAAAGAGCAATGCACCTGAGTGTGAATGCATCAAACGCTTCCAGGCCTGGCAGTCAATCCACGTGCCATGGCCTCTTACAAGGAAGTCATTGTTCTAACACCCCATCGGTAGGGCACAGGCTTTGGTTATTTTATCAGTGCACAAAAATGAATTCACACTGTTACTGGCTTTCTTCTGCTGGTGCACATTCGGTGTGATGGCTCCTTGGGTTTACGGATGACCCCTGTGGCTAGAGGCGAGGGTGAAGATAATGGGTTCACATTGCACAGATTAAAGCAGAGACTCTATTGTGTTCAGAAGAACCTAGAGTTAATGGGCCACAAACAGATCATCTTCTGGCCTCCCTAGCAGAGCCATCGGTTGCCTCCTGACACAGTCCATTTCCACTTTGACACAAGTGTTTGCCAGCTTTGTGGTACCTGATTATTAGGGTCCTCTTAGTTCTGTGATTGCTCCAGGAATTCAGTGAAAATTGTCATCTGGAAGAACCAAATGCAGTTCTTAACTGGGTAGAATTCAGGCTCTTCAATTCTTGATTCCATCCATTATGTGCTCACTGTAAGAAGTGGTACCTCCTTGGGATACTGAATCAGAAAGATATTAGAGAAACGGCTATTCATGGTGTAGGGATCTTTGGACTTGAAGGTGAAATTTCAAACATCTTCAATATTCATTTTGGTTCTGGGAGAGGTAGGAAAACTGTCTAGAAATGGTCCATTTATAATCATATATGTGAATAGAATTTAGCATTTTGGTTGGTTGGTTGGTTAAATGTGTGATTGTGAAATAGGGCTATGATGAGTTGACATAAGGGGAAATCGACCTTTAAGTAGGGTGACCATATAATTTTTTATCCAAATGGGGTCATTAGAGAGAGAAGAGTGGTGCTATTAACATTCACATCGAGACAGATGAAAACATTCACGTCGAGACAGGGAAACCTGGACGTGCTCTCATCTTATGAGGGCTTGTCATTTGCTAGGAACAATTTGGTGGTCGTTTTTCCTTACACAACAAGGAGAGACCAGGAGCCTGCCCTCTTGGTAGATCAGCTAAACATGTCCACAGGATTTTGCTTCCAAGATGAACATGGGTGTAGCTTTCAGGAGTGTCCATCGAGCATCACGATTCGAAACCTGAATTTTCAGGGGCTTCTCTGTCTTGTCACCTTCCTTTGCTGCATGCTTCAGTCTCTGCTTGAATTTGCACCTGGAAATGGGGTTGAAATACATTTGGTGCAGAACGATAGCATTTCAAACCTGTCTAAACAGTTTGCAGACATTGAAAAGGATTTGTATGCCAAGAAGGAGGCCCCTAGCTCATGAGGCCAGCCCCAGTTTGCCTTCTGAATATACTCATTTTGCTGCTGTTAAAGACTTTCTGTGTAATTTGAGTCAAAATATCCCTATTTTCTAGTTATACCGATTTTCTTCACTTCTAAACCCCAAGCCACCATAACACTTTTTTCAAAGTCTCTTTTGCTCTTCCCACCCCTTCCAGCTCCTTGGGGGATTTCAAGATGGGATGGTGGAGCATAGTTAAATCCATCGTAATTACATTCAGTCAGCTGTATCCCCTCTTCTTCTTTGCCTTTGGGATTTCACTACTTTAAAAAAGTATTCTCTGTTGCTGAACAATTAAACATAACGCTAACCTTGCAGTCAGATTAGCCATAATTGATATGGTTTGGGCATTTTATACTAAGTTATGTCATTTTAAGCAATTAAATTAATATCTCAAAGTCAAAAAGCTAATTCCAATGATTGCTGTAGACATTTTAAGAAAATATTTTCCAAGAGAAAAGGGATATCAAAATATAACCATTTTTCTTTTGCCAAGAATACACTGCATTTGCTTTAGGTACAGATAAGAGGCATTTTAGGTATAGATTAAAATCTGTGGTGAGGAAATGTAGTCAAGAAAAGGGCTTTACTTGCGCTGGAGAAGACTTCCGCTCATGCACGGCCCTCACTAACTTGGAGCTGAGCTGCTTGCTGTACACGAGCTGTGCACCCAAGTGAGCCTCTGTAGTCCAGCCCAGGACTGCTATCTGCTGTTGCCTCCAGCTTTCTGGTCATGCTGGGGGAGTTGGGGGAAACAGGGGCAGCATCACACACACACACACACACACACACACACACACACACACACACACACACACACACACACACAGCTCTTTCTGAGGATGGGAAGGAATCATTATTTCCAATGGCATTGTTTCCCAATGTTGGCCAGACTGTGATCTGTTTCTGTCCAAGAACGAAGACAGCGTTCCCTTTCTGAAGCTGTTCTCAGCTGTTCCCTCATTTCACAAGCTGCTTTCCAGCTCTGATGTCTGTGGTTGCTGTAGCAGCAGGCTAAGCCACACCTGACCCACAGAAGGACATGAGGTTGGTTCTACCTCACAGAGAGAAGCTGAAATCTTTGTTCCTATTAACACAAAGATAAGGGGCTCGGAAGTGTGCCTGAGCGAATGGGACTGACAGTAGCAATGACGGTGGAAGAAAGCCCAAGAACGTCTCCACAGAGGGATGCCTGGCAACACAGGAGCAGGCCCACATGGCCAGCATCTCTGAGGTTTACCTTACCCCCAACAGGCACAGCGGGCCTCTCTGCCCCATGCATGACTTGCCACATCCCTGAAATACGAATTGCATGAATTTTATGCTGGAACAAGCTGCAGAGTGATCAGTCACATTTGCAGCCCTGTGGACTATGGCTATTGGACCGTACAATTAAAATTAAGTTTGACATTAAATCTAAAACAAAATTTTTTGAAAATAAAAAGGCTAGACATGATGGCTCACATCTGTAATCCCAGCACTTGGGGCAGCTGAGATGGGAGGGTCACTTGAGCCCAGGAATTCAAGACTGGGCAACATAGTGAGACTGTCTATTTTTCTTTTTTTGAGACGGAGTCTCGCCCTATCACCCAGGCTGGAGTGCAGTGGTACAATCTCAGCTCACTGCAAACTCCGCCTCCTGGGTTCACGCCATTCTCCTGCCTCAGCCTCCCGAGTAGCTGGGACTACAGGCGCCCGCCACCGCGCCTGGCTAATTTTTTGTATTTTTAGTAGAGACGGGGTTTCACCATGGTCTGGATCTCCTGACCTCGTGATCCACCCGCCTCAGCCTCCCAAAATGCTGGGATTACAGGCGTGAGACACCGTGCCCAGCCCGAGACTATTTTTAAAAAATACATTTACAAAATAAGATACATTTAAAAGTAAGTTGTCTCATCTGACAGCAGCCATGCCTGGGACACTGCTCCAAAGGCAATCTTAGCAGGGACTCAAATCTGATTGTTACTGCTGGGTCTTCTCCCTGACCCTGGGGAGTGTAACTACAGAATCATTCATGCAGCATTTGCAACTTACCAAAGGGTAACTTTCCACAGTTCCCAGCGTTAGCTTAGCAACCAGAGCTGCAGAATATGCCGTCCTGGGCAGAAAAGGGAATGGTGAGTACTGTCAGTTGAGCTTTGCATCTTCTCTACCTTGTTGAGGACCTAACATCTCCATCAGAGATTCTTAAAAACCCGCCACCCCCCGACACACCCCCAAGAAGAAAAGCCTGGGAAGTTCTTTCTACGCACATGCCATCTTTAGAAGTTCTCCAACTTTATGGTAGAGGTCATCCCATCCTGGAAATGTCAGAGAGGAAGATTATAGAAGCTGGTCAGGAACTTAATGAACATTTCCTGCAATACACTCATTGTGGCTAGTGTCACCAACTTTAACAAGTGACATTAACAAGAGGCTTATCTAGCTAGCCTGAGTCAGTTTTGTGCCTCGGTGTGAAAGCTATTTCTAGTACCATTTTGCTTATAGCCAGGAATGGTTCATATCAAAACTGTGGACCAGAGTTCATTTTTAGAGGACAGAGCTGCTAAGCAGAAAGCAACAGGGGGCCCAACCTCACCCTCCTAGCTCCTTCCCTGTTGACTTAACCTTTTGAAAACATAGACATGGGCCAGACACGGTGGCAAACACCTGTAATCCCAGCACTTTGGCAGGCTGAGACAGGCGGATTGCTTCAGCCCAGGCGTTTGAGACCAGCTTAGCCAACATGGTGAAACCCTGTCTCTACTAAAAATAAAAAATTAGCGGCCAGGCACCGTGGCTTATGCCTGTAATCCCAGCACTTTGGGAGGCTGAGGCGGGTGGATCACGAGGTCAGGAGATCGAGACCATCCTGGCTAACAGAGTGAAACCCTGTCTCTACTAAAAAGACAAAAAAATTAGCCGGGCGTGGTGGTGGGCACCTGTAGTCCCAGCTACTAGGGAGGCTGAGGCAGGAGAATGGCACAAACCCAGGAGGCGGAGCTTGCAGTGAGCTGAGATTGTGCCACTGCACTCCAGCCTGGGTGACAGAGCGAGATTCTGTCTCAAAAAAAAAAAAAAAAAAAAAAAATTAGCTGTGCATGGTGACACACGCCTGTAATCCCAGCTACTCAGGAGGTGGAGGCTGGAGAATTGCTTGAGCCTGGGAGGTGGAGGTTGCAGTGAGCCGAGATCACGCCATTGCACTCCAGTCGGGGTGACAGAGTAAGACTCTGTCCCCCCACACACACAAAAAAAAAGGAAAGAAAAAAGAAAAGAAAACATAGACAAATTCAAAGAGGACATGGAAGCTTAAGCTAGAAGACAAAGAGGAACTAGTGAGGGGTGTGTGACATCAGCCAAAGCTGTTGGCAGGGATGTGTCCTAGAAGGCAGAACTTTCAGCTTCCTCAAGGTCGTTCCTTAGTCGTTGCCACTGAAAAATGGGTCTTGATGGGACTTTGTAAAAAAACAGACCTGGCATCTAGTGAGTTGCTAAAACTTGCCAGCTGTAAGATCTGGAGTGTTTCTTTTAAACTGTAGGCCAGTTTCCTCATCTGTAGGATTATGTCACACTATCTACCCTGATTTCATAGGGTAATGCTATGTGAGAATGCTCTCACTTAACTTGGAAGAAGGTCAAAGCAGGATGATGTTACTTTCCTCAATTCTCTTTTAAAGACCTTCTTGAGTGCTGGATGCCATGAGGGAAAGTGTATCCGAAACACTCATGTTTCTCATGGCACTGATATAGGGCTCAGGGGACTTTGCACATCATTGTGTTTTACCTGATGTTTAATCCCAGGCCTGACAGTGGCCCTGCCTCAGATCTCACATCAGATGGGGGCAGGTGGGGAGGACAAAGCCTTCCAGCCTCTGTTTCTCCAGTGCGGTCCACAGAATGAGCTCCTGTCCCAAGAGCCTGCAGGATATACCAACCTGAGAGTCAGACTTCAGCCTGCAGCTCCACAATACAAAAAAATAAAGCAAGAGTAGCCCCTGCAAGACGCCAAAACAACTACGGAGCAGATCACCATGGAAAATGCCTCAGCCAGACATGTCCAGGTCCTTCTGAAACACATTGCTCATAGAGAAATAAGTTTTTGCAGGTGTAGTGAGAGTCAACATGAACATAAACCAGGCAGTTCGTCAGTGGCCGGTTCAGAAGCCGGAGCCAAGGGTCCTGACTGAGGGAACTCAGGCACACACCTTTACTCTCTGGGTCTTAGCTTTAAGTTGGGGAGAGGGTGGGTTAGATCTCTGCTTTCCAAAAGTTCTAAAAAATGTTCAAAGGCATTAAGTAGGGGAAAGATGATCTAATAAGTTTGGAAAATTCTGGATTCAATGCAATTTGCTTATTTATCATAAGATTTAGAAGCTATTTTAAGCTGAAATTCTCCACGGCTCCCAGAAGGGGTGTGATATGCAGTTTTAGCCCAAACTTACCTTGCCATGATATCTTTTTTCCAGGAACGTCAGTTGTGACTGATGACATCCTGGACCCGTGTTGGGAAAACTGAACTGGATGATCTCAAAGGCCTTTTCCCTTCAAATATTCTCTGACTGTGACTGCTTGAAGGAAGCCAAGAATTAGAGTTTCATGTCAGAGGCCCTCATTGCTAAAGAAGTAGAGGCTCAGTGTGATTGGGAAGGCCCACGTGGAACTAGGTCATCCCCTTCAGCTGCTTCCCAACCACTGCTCTGTAATTACAATGTGCATCCAGGAAGTTATCAAAATCCTGTTTGGAGAATATTGGATTAGCAGAATGTTTGATTAAATCAGTAAGTGGAATACTAAGGGGTTTTTCTCTTACTAATTACATCTGGAGGAACTAACCTCGTCTGTAGGGATAGACTAGGAAGCTATGTTTCTTATGTAAATGAAGATAGCCTAAGGAAAAAATATCTGGAAAAGGTACCCTTTCAACTCTGATTTGTAAATGTCAAATAGAGGTGCTCAAGGAGAAAAGAATAAACAATTTCATGAAACTCAACATAAATTCTAATTATAATAGGAATGAGTTGAATTCATAAATTGTGTACTCTCTGAAAAGTTAAATATTAGCCTGAAAATACAAAAAGGACTTGGATATTTCATTTTTACACTCTTACATACACACAACTTTTTCCTCCCAATAAATAAAACAATATTTTTGAGGGACAAATTTGGCAAGTTTTGCAGATGAGGGTGAGACCTTATTCACTTCCTCCTAAATTTAACCTAGGTTAAGAATATTTTCAGTCACTATTTGTTGAATTCTAGGTCTTAGTGTTCTACCTGGTCACAATTTGTATTGAGACAGAAACCAGTGAACTCAAATCTTCATCAGCCCTCATTATCAGAAAACTTTGGCTGGACAGCTGATTGATTTGCTGGTTTTACTGCTGGCTTAATATTGATCTGACTATGTATTTCCCTTGGCTCACTAAATATATATAAATCAAGAGAGGTTTTCGAAGTCTTAAAAGGAAACAAGTAACTGACTAGAGTTATTGCCTAAGACCCAATATGCAATTCAGCTTAACCCACAGGGCACCTGCCATGGGCCACTTAATGAGGACACCATCCACCACTGCTCACGCTGCAAGCTGCCCATGCCCTTCTTACCCCTTCACCTCATTTACCCCATTATCTGTAATCTGAAATTACCATCACCTCCCCTCCCACTATATTTTTTATCCTTCTCTTCTTCCTCCTCACTTCCCATGACGACACCTCTGCTTCAGGTCCTCATTTCGGTTCAGTAGTCTCGAAAGATCTCTCTTCCCATTCTTTCTTCAAATGCATCTTGTCCTCCTCAGATAAAAAGATCTTTCTTGTCTTCAGTGGGTTTCCACTGCCTAAAGGATAACATCCCTATTCCTTATTCATCAAAAAATCTTCCATTGGGTGGCCCTGACTATCTGGCTTTATCCCTCACTGGGCCACCAGGAGATGCCACACGTGAAACCACATGGCACAGCTCCCCCTCCCGGTATATACAGCACGTTGTTGTGTCTCTGCCCTTTGGTCAATAGTATTCTCTTTCCAAGAATGCCTTCCCCACACTTTTCTTCTAGCAAAACATTGCTCATTCATTCAAGCCTGGCTCATGTTGCTCCTCTGTAATGCTATCCTACTTTGCCTTAAATGACCACTCCTTCCTTTGTGTTCTGCACTATATTGTTTATATCGTTGTCCGTTGGATTCATGCATGTCTCTTTTGTCACTAGCAGTGATATACATAAACATTCCAAAAAAAAGTAGCTCTGGGACAGGAATGTGTCAGAGGCCTTAGAAATGGTATTTTATTTAGTCTTTAAAAATAAGTCATGTTATTATATACCTCATAGAAACAGGTTCACAGAGGAGAAATTGAATGCCCCAGGTCACATAGCTGGTCAGCAGAGCTGGGATTCAACCCAGCTGCTCCGTGTCACCCTTTGCATTGCTTCCTGTTACTTCTCCACTGTTACCCACCTGAGCCTGTGTGCCTTCCTGGGGATTAGTCAATGTGAGGTTGGCTCCAATACTGTGTTTCTGTTGTTCTGAAGGGCTCTGTTCTTTGTTCATCCTTTGTTAGGAGATGTGAAGACATTCTGAGGGAGTGGAAGATAGGCTGCCCATCCTCAGGGCTCACGAGCTGGAGAGAGGGGATAAATGAGGAAGTGCTTTGAAAGTGGACACAGGATGACATTAGTTAGGCATGAGGCATAATACTGCTGGGAGAATACAGGAAAGTCATTCTCCTTCGACTTCCTCACTTTATAGTTTTTGTACAATTTGGAGTTAAAGAGTAGATAAACCGAGAAAAATGTGTGTTCAACAGGAAAAATGTCAGGGTGGGGCTGTTCTAAACCTGGGGCAGCAGTTCCCCACTGTATCTGGGACAGAGTCGTTTAATTTCAGTAGTGGCTTTTGAATCTGTGAGGCCCACTTGATCTTCTACTCCCATCAGCTCAGTGACTCATTCTCCCGGCAAAGACTTGGCGTCATCCCAGGGAGGCAGAGAGGCCAACTCAGTGGTACCCACAGGACCGAGTGAGTCTCTCACAGGCTGCATCCACGCCCCCCATGGCCTCTGCTAATGAGGTCCACACCTCTGCTCAGCAGCCTGCCAACATGATGGGACACACCCCATGCTGGAAGAGCTCCCAAACCAGACTTTGTGGAAACTTGTGGCTGCAGGTTCAAAAGGCTAATTTGGTTTTCCACTGTGCACAGGGCTGCCACTCAGTGCAGTCTTCAGATTGAGAACACTTCCTCCCACTATGGGCAGTTTGGCGTGAAGGAGTGAGATACGTAGTTTCTGGATAGCACCCAGGGGAATGCCGAGGATGTGCACACAAAGCAAGGCTGACTGTTCCTTTGCTGTTTGTCTACTTTTTCCCATTTTGTGCTGAGACTCATCTTTCCAGCACAAACACCAGGATGAGGAATTGGAATTTTAGTGCTGGAAGTCTCCGGAACTATGATCTAGTGCTCATTCCCTCTGATCCCATTGCCCTGACATTATCTGATGCTTCCACAGCTCCTTGTACAGGGAGGTGTGGAGTCGGGAGAGCATCAGCCTGTGGTACAGCGCTGCCCACAGGGAAGGAAGAAGACATGGCGGGGACATGGCCTGACTCCCGATGTGCTCCTTCCTGTAGGGTCTTCCACATGGCTGGGCTCCCTCCCGTCCCAGCACACATCCTGGGTCCATGTGACCTTGAACTTCACAAGGTCAAATCTGTGCAGATCCAAATGGTGTGTGGATCTAATTTTCTTCCTCAAGAAGCCTTGCACAATCTGGCCCTGCATGCTTCCTCTGAGCCCACACTTCCTGTGAGCATACACTTCCTGTAAGTGTATACTTCCTTTGAGCGTACACTTCCTGTGAGCTTACACTTCCCATGAGCTTACACTTCTTGTGAGTGAACACCTCCTATGAGCCCACATTTCCTGTGAGCTCACACTTCTTGTGAGTGTACACTTCCTATAAGTGTATACATCCTGTGATCATACATTTCCTGTGAGCATACACTTCCTGTGAGCTTACATGTCCTGTGAGTGTATACTTCCTGTGAGTTTACACTTCCTGTGAGCTCTCACTTCCTGTGAACCCACACTTCCTGTGAGTGTACACTTCCGGTGAGCACACCCTTCCTGTGAGTGAACACTTCCTGTGAGTGAACACTTCCTGTGAGCCCATACTTCCTCTGTGTATACTTCCAGTGAGTGTATACTTCCTATGAGCCCATATTTCCTATGTGTTTACCTCCTGTGAGCCCATACTTCCTCTGTGTATACTTCCAGTGAGTGTATACTTCCTATGAGCCCATATTTCCTATGTGTTTACCTCCTGTGAGCCCACACTTCCTATGTGTACACTTCCTTTGAGCCCACATTGTGAGTGTACACTTCCTCTGAGCACACACTTCCTATCTGTGCACTTCCTGTAAGCCTACACTTCTTGTGAATTTATACTTCTATGAGCCCATAGATCCTATGTGTATACTTCCTGTGAGCCCACATTTCCTCTGATGGTATACTTCCTGTGAGCACACACTTCTTATCTATGCACTTCCTGTAAGCCCATACTTCCTGTGAGCTCACACTTCCTATGAGGCCACACTTCCTATCTGTGCACTTCCTTTGAGCATACACTTCCTATCTATGCACTTCCTAAGAGAGCATGCTTCCCGTGAGCCCACATTTCCTATCTGTGTACTTCCTGTGAGCATACACTTCCTACCTGTGCACTTCCTGTGAGCATACACTTCCTATCTGTAAACTTCCTGTGAGCATACACTTTCTGTGCACTTCCTCTAAACACATACTTCCTCTCTGTGCAATTCCTGTGAGCCCACACTTACTATGATATACACTTCCTGTGAGTATACACTTCCCATGAGCCCCCCTTCCTCTGTGCAATTCCTGTGAGCACACAGTTCCTCTCTGTGCACTTCCTGTAGCACCACTTTCTCTCTGTGCACTTATTCTGAGCACACACTTCCTATCTGTGCACTTCCTGTGACTGTACACTTCCTGTGACTGTACACTTCCTGTGAGTATACACTTTCTGTGAGCCCATGCTTCCTCTCAGTGCACTTCCTGTGAGTACCACTTTCTCTCAGTGCACTTCCTGTGAGCCCACACTTTCTGTGAGTGTACACTTCCTATGAGTATACACTTCCTGTGAGCCCACACTTCCTCTATACACTTCCTGTGAGCACACACTTCCTCTCTGTGTACTTTCTCTAAGTCCACACTTGCTGTGTGCATTCTCACCTGCATAATCACTCTTGCTCTTGGGATTCTTGCACATGATTCTTTACCACCCCAGAACTCTGGAAGATGTTGCTTTCTGAGACCTACCTCTCTCGTGTTTCTCCAATGCCAGTTCATCCATAGATTTCTTCCTAAATACCACTGGCCTCCCTGTGCAGTGCTTTCACTGGGACCTGTGTTTTTTCTTGGTGGCACTTACATAGAAGGATTGTTGTTTAATGACAGTCGACTCCAAGACTGTCATTGGTAGATGGTGGCTTCCAAAATGACGGAACCAAGTCAGCCTTGTTCTTTGTGGTATCTCCAGGGTCAGCCTTCCCTGGTGTTCCCAAATGTTCCCTAACTGAAAGGATGTATTACAGTTGGGCTTCCTCTCCCTAGGAGACATAATTAAATTTAAAAGTGGGCTTGGGTTGTTTGTAGTATGCATTTTTTTACAGGAGAACCACAGAATCTTTATTCCAGATTTTTGAAAAGGTGCGCGGTGCATTTCATTTACCCTGGTAAGCCGTATTTTTGTGTTCTGTTGTCAGTACATTTTCAGACACACATCACTTGCGAAACTCCTAAAATCTTTTCAAAATGCTCTCACAAGCACATAAACACATATCTTCTTCCTTATTACTCAGGCACTTCAGACCCAGAGAATTGCTTTTAGAGATCTTGATCATAATACCTCAAAGACAGTTTTCTTTAGGAAGATAAAGAACACTAAAAGGTTAATAATAGAACCTTGAGACCCTCTGAAAAGAAGACTTATGTCAGATTGATAATTTAGGTAGAGTTCTGGAAAACATTAATCTACAAACATATGCCTGATAGAAGGATATTTGCAGAAATGGCTGCAAGTGCCATATTGTTCCAGCTGGTGAGTGTGGTCCATAAAAATTCAGTCTTTAAAAATTATAGTATAGTCCAATTGTAGGACTGTGTGCTCAGTGAAAATGCACTTTACCTATAGATAGGGTTGGGAGAACCACCCTGTCTTACCACAGTGTATGTCCGCTCAACACACTGCCATGACCTGGGAAGAGAACTTTAGGGGGACATTCTTATGAAGCCCTTCCCTGTACCTTTTTGTTAGTTCCTTATAATCCCAGAAATTTTCTATTAGGGTAGATAAATGACCATAAAACCTTTCTACCCCGTTGAGGATGTTTCTTAGGACTTCTTTTATGACAACCATCTAAACTCAGCCACATCTGCCTCTGGCATGTCTAGTTTGGGGCCACCTCTCTGCATCCCCCTGTGTAATTATTTTATGAGTGAAGTCCCTGCTGGAAACCAGCCCTCTTCCCAGTCAAAATCCATCTGTTTCTCCACTGCCTGTACATGCCTTTCTCTTTACAATACAGTTAGACCATTTGAGTCACCTTCTCTAGAGAGATAACACAAAAGCAGAATCACAGACATGTGCAATCTTCCAGTAAATGTCTTCCCCCCATACACCATGTATGGGGTTGAAAAATGGTATTTCTATAAAGAATTGGAATCTGTGAAGACAGGGTTACAGTGAGAAATATTAATACACACATTGCAGAGCAGGCTGGTGTCAGGTTCTGTGCCAAGGGTCTGTGGTGCCTCTGACAAAGGAGAACAATGCTGAGGGGAGGAAGCAGCAGGAGGAGATTGTGGGGGTGGGGGGCGAGCTAATTATCCAAATTGAAAAGGGCCCAAGCCCCTTGGATTAACACACATCTTCCCTGCTGAAGAAAGTGCTCAGGGAATGATCATGATCAGCTGCCATGACCTCCACTTCTCCTCTCACAGGGCACCGAGCCAACATGCATCAGGTGGATGGCTGTTGGTGATTTACATGGGAAATGACTGTGGTATGCAGGGATGCAAAATCAATGTGGCTTCTTCCTCCAGAAGTATGGGGCCACCCTTGCCTCAACTCATAAGAATACACTGATGTTCTGGTGTTGCCTCAGAGGCCTTAGCTGACACAATTCCTGGGGTCAGGGTTGGGTCTATCCAACCCTAGGGTGTTTCTCCAGAAAAACATAGACCAGTGTTCCTAAGATGCCAACTTGGCTTCTGCTCCCAGTCTGCTTCCTCTGAATCATACCTCTTCTTTGCAAACGAGGTGTTTTTATGAACAGAAAATATGTGGACTTGACTGCTTCATTTACTCTCTCAGACGTTCATTAAAAGCTTACATACACACCAATCAAGGCTTTTTATGAGACACAGCCAAGATGTTTTACGTGTATGGTGCCAATAAACACACTTCTCCAGAAGGAACTAGTACTATTTATGTAAAGTAGGCACTTAATTCAACTGAATGGAAATAGCAAATTAGAGAATGCTTGATTATGGCATTGAAGATGCTTTCTGGGATGAAGACATTATTTGGAAAATCTCCAGATGCTCAAAGCTTGAGGAATGCTGGGATCAGGCAGGTAACTCTGTAATAGACTTGGATAGAGACTAATTCTGCTCAAGAACAGCTCAAATGGAAAGCTCAGATCCACAGGGAAGGAGCAAACCCAGTCTCTTTAACTTGGCTATGGTGGATCAAGATCGTCACTGGAACTCTTTGGTTGTGAGACTCAATATTTATTCTGTGTAGGCAGGAGCATATTGGACCCATCATGAAACTGGTACTGTCATAGGCTAGACCTGTGACCTCCTAGGTGAAATAACAAAGGCTGGAAAGAGGTGTCCCCATGGGCTTTGGGGAAGACTTCTCTTGCCCAACAGTGAGCTTGAGCAATTACTTTTCTAAATTGATTGGTTTATTAAAGAAATATTAATTGGACAAGACAACCATCAATGTGAACCTAGTTCAACACAAAGAACATTCAGGCCATCAGATGACCAAAGTGAAGCCTCCTGGTACTTAGCATCTGCCTTATCAACTCAGGCCTGACAAGGAAACATGTCGGTTGCTGGAGAAACACCCAAACCCTAAATACCTCCTGTCACACAGTGGAAACCTGAATTACTGTGAATCCATTTATGCGGCTCTCTTCTCTAAGAGCAGAGGAAGCAGGTGTGGCCAGACTCAGAGGAGGTCCTCAAGCAGGAGGTGTACAAGTCAGGGTTCTCCAGAGGAACAGAACCAATAGAAGGTAGATATAGACAGATACAGATATATAAGAGGGGATTTATCAGAGGAGTTGTCTCATACGCTTATGGAGGCTGAGTCGCATGCAGGCCATCTGCAAGCTATAGAATGGGGGAAGCTGGCAGTGTGGCTCAGTTCAACTCTGGAAGCCTCAGAACCAGGGAACCTGAAGGTGTAACTTTCAGTCCAAGGCCAAAGTCCTAAGAACCTGGGGTGCCACTGGTGCAAGTCTCAGAGTCCAAAAGCCAGAGAGCCTGGAGTTCTGATGTCCAAGAGCAAGAGAAGAAGGGTACCCTAGCTCCAGGAGAATGGGAAGGAGAGGGCAAATTCACCTTTCCTCTGCCTTTTTATTCTATCCAGGACCTTAAAGTGATTCTAATGCCAGTCTCTTCTGGAAACATCCTCATAGACACACCCAAAATAATGCTTTACCAGCTATCTGGGAATCCCTTAATCCTGGCAAGTTGACATTGGTTAATGAAATTAGCCATCGCAGTGGGTCAGGGAGAAGGTGGCCGAGTGTCTGCTTCCTGTGCGGAGGGCACCACACCTTCTGAATGACTTCTTGGTCCCTCATAGCCTAAGAAGTCCGGTGAAATGCATTTGATCTCTTGACTACTTTTTACCCCATCAGTTGTACCATCCACCTTCCAGCTATCTTCCCACTTCATGCCCATGATTCCATGCGCTATTCATGCTGGACCACAACAACTAAGAAGTCTCTTTTGCATTTCTTTCTTCCCTCCAGCAACACATGGCCCTTTATGCAGCTCTCACAGCCAGTCTGTATGAGAGACAGAAATAATGGCATTGCCCTTGGGAAAGGAGAAACAGATAAAGATTCCTTCTCTTGAGTTCTAGCGGCAAGCAGTGACAAAGTGCCCCACAAAATTTAAAGCATCAAGGAGTAGCCCGTGGGAAGATATCCATCAGATCCTCCAATATATGAATTAGGTCTGATGGGGGTAGCTGCTCACTGGTCGTGATATCTTGGGACTCCTGCTTCTATCCAGCCCCTACATCGCTCTTTCATGATTTTAAATGTGCACTCAAGGAGCTCACTCCAAATCCAAGCCTACATGTATGCCTAACCTACTGCAACCAGAGAGCTCCATATTTATGTGAAGAAAAGGGCCATATCTGATTAAACAACCATGGTTCTGTTTGCAAACACCAATCCATACATTATGAAAGACACAGCAAATGTCCCCAAATAATTGATTTTATTCACACCAAGTTTACTCTGATGGATTACCACAAATAAACATGTAAACATGGGTAACACTTCACTATAGTATAGTTCATGCCACTTGCCTGATAGAAAACCATGGAGCTTCTCTTAGGAATCCATTTTGGTTTTGGGGTTTGTTTGTTTGTTTATTTACTTTTTTTATATTAAAAAGAGAGATGAGGTCTCACTATGTTGCCCAGGTTGGTCTCGAACTCCTGGACTCAAGTGATCCTCCCACCTCAGCTTCCCAAACTGCTGGGATTACAGGCGTGAAACACTGCACCCAGCCAGGAATCCTTTAAAGTACAAGGAGGATTCAGCTTATTATAGAGCTAGTCTATACACAATAACCTGAATTATATACCTAACATGATCTAAATCCTTAGAGTTTTAGAAACACTCAAAAATTTTTTTAAGAAAAGCCTCATTTCTAATAATAACACAGTGATTAACCACAATGCTTGGCGAATTGCCTCAAAACCTTTTTGGAAGTAGGGAGGATATAAATAAATCAGTTAATACATAAATAAAATGCTTGCAGCTCAGCGACCTTCTGGTTCTCAGGTTTCCGTATATCAAATTATGGATTGACCCCACTAAGTAATCTCCAAAGTCTTTTCTATGTAGAAGTCTATAAATTTTCTGTTAATCCCAGGGTGAGTTGGGGACCATTTTGTCTTTTGTCCTTGTCGACTGTCTTTGTGAGAAGCTGAGTCTGCTTACCTGCTGGGTTCAGTGAGCAGGTATGAAGGCATCATGTATGGACATTGAAGAGCTGCCCAGAGATAAGCTCTCACGTTTGGAGGAGCATGGGTGTGTGGGCTACTGTTGGCTTCAGCTTGTGTACAAGGATATTCAATTTTAGAAAGCCATAATTAATAGTTTCTCTTCTTACCATATTGAAGAAGTCAGCTTGTTGCCTTCTGGCAAATTAAAATTTCATTAAACTTTTCAGTTAAGAAAATACAGCTTGTTGCAAAAACACCGTATGCACCTTACGACTCTTTTCCCCGCCCTTCCTCACTGCGACTCCCATCACTGCACAGGTGGAGGCAGTGAAGGGGATGCCTTGCTTTCTGAGCTGCTGAAAACATCAGGGTTTCAGTTCTGTCTTGTTTACTGCTATATCTGATCACCTTGCATTGTGCTTGGCATGTAGTAGCTGCTCAGTACATACCATTTGAATGAACAAATCAATCAATTAATCAATTAATCAGTTAATCAGCCAGTCGATGCAGGTGATGCCTGTTCCTAAATTCCTTTGGTCCCATTAGGTACTTTGCAACATTTCCATTTCTTCTGCTTCTGTTAGAAGGGACCTTTTTAAACTTGAAGGGCAGAGGCCCCCACGCAGCTCATGCAGATGGTGGTACTAACTGGAGAAGCAGTTACAGTTTTACCTAGCATGCATTTCTGTTGGAGCTCATTTCAAGTAAATGACTTATACTTTATGTCCACAGCAAAGAGGCCCACATTTGTGGCAATCTTGGTCAGTACAGTCAGGAAGGAAGTGTAGCTGAAGATCACTGAGGAACCAGAGAAATTAGTGTATACCTGGATTTAATGATCAATTTGCTTATGTTAAAAATACATTTGAATATGATTTACTGCCCTTCAGTTAATGCTAGTTCCTTGCTTGCAGCAGGACCAATCAAAAGGAGCTAAACCTTAAAACCCGGATGGAGATGTTGAAGGATTCTAGCTAAAGTTTATGCAATTAATTAGGCATCCCCTATTCAGAATACACTTTCTATTAGTGGCTTAGAATTGAAAGATATCGTACTCCCAGGAAAAGTACAAAGAGGACCACGAGATACATTGATAATGACCTTATCCTTAATTCATTCCACACATACTCAGTTAAGTGGCTTAAATAAGTGATAGAGATTTTAATTTAAATGCGAGAATATAAGTGGGCAAATATTTGAATTTAAGTGAAATTAACACAACGTGCCAAATATTGAATAAGAAACTGGAATATAGTTGGCATTGGATAATGTATTTGGTTTGAGATTTGGGTTTCCAAACTGAATATATAAATCAATGGGCAGATATACAGTGAACACAAATATAAATAAACACAGTTCCATGTTTACTGTTTATAATATGTCCCCCCAAATATGTGCAGAAGTGGAATGTGAAGGCAATATACAACTTTTTTGTTAGGTTGGGGGCAGGGGATTCTGAAAGCTACAAAGTATCAAACCATTTATTCATTGCATCCTATCTTTAAGATACAGTTTTCATCAATATATTTTCAATGTTTATACATGTTACTTAGTTCTGTTCTTTTTCTACTCAAATGATTATACAGTTGATTAATGTCACATGGACTTTCATTGTGATTCTTCTTTTAGCTCTGCCTATTCACATTATTAATAAAACCATGAAAATTAAATTAATATGACCTTATCATTGTAATCACTACTTTCATTTTTGCATTTTTCTACTCACTTTTACCAAAAAAAAGGAACAAGATGGGAAAACAAAAATTACATAAAAACTTCAGCGTATGGGGAAAAACAGAGTTGTCTCTAAAAAGGATCTGCTCTCGGCATGGTAGCATCAGAGCATCTACTCAATTGTCAGCCATAAATGAAGTTCAGAATTGGACACACCTTCACAGTCTTCCATATGCCAAAGCGGATTGTTCCAACATCAGATGACTCCCTGCCATGTATTCCTTGTTAGTTTCCTATGCTAAATACTAGTAAGATACCAAAGGATGTTAGAAATCTGAGGAGAAGTTGCCTAGGATTTAGAGATCACTCCTAGTCTAATATCAGTAGGTTTTTAGGATTACAGGTTATTCAAGGGCTGCTTCCTGTGTGTAGAGGTTGTATTATGAGTCCTGAAAGGAGAGAGAGGAAAAGAGTCTGCCATATTCAGAATAAAAAGGCAACGAAGACGGAGTGTTTTGCGGATTGCCAGATAAGTCTTTTCTGACCGTTCCCAATCCTGAAAGTTCTAACATGGGGACTGCTTGGTCTTTGAAGGAGGTGAATTGCAGTAAACAAATCATGAATTATCATCTGCAGTAGATTTGAAAGTCTTTGAGTGAATATAACTGGGGGATGTAACCTTAACTTTCAGATAAGTTTCTAAACAGTTCAGCATATCATTTTAAAATGAGCAATGGATGTTTAATGAAGAAAATATGAAATTCAGGTTATCATGTAAATTACAGGTAAACAAACAAAAGGGAAATACAAAAGTGACCTATACTCTAATCACCCAAACAGAATCACTGTTAACAAGTTGGCAAAATTCTTTCTGGGATTTCCTAGGCATCTGTAGTCCAACTTAGCTCTATGTTTATTTAACTACATTTATGCATACAAATACTTTTCTTTACAAAATGGTGTGACTTTATTCTGTAACCTGCTGCTTTGCATAGAAATAAATGATGAGCATGTTTTATGTCTCTAACTACACATTTATCTTGTCTTAATGGCTGCTTGGCATTCATTTCTTGGGCTATAGCTTCACAGATTTAGCTACTAGATAGTCTCCAATTATATGCAATAGCACATATACCTTTGTGCCGTTTTTCGTACATATATCTTTGTACATTCATTAAATAATTTCCTTAGGATAAGATTTTTCACAAATTAAATTAATAGGTCAGAAGTATATATTTTTAATACATATGAGGTGTGTTGGAGAATTATCTTTTAGAAAATTTATATCAGTTTATATTCTCACCAGCAGTATATGAGGGAATCTGTTCTAATCAGACATTCTCAACACAAGGCTTTATCATTCTTTTTAATTGTTGCCAACCTAATAGATGGTAGACTCTACTAATTTGCATTTTTTGATTACTTAGTAAGGTTGAATTTTTTTCATGTTTATTGACCTTTTTCTCTTGCCTCTTTATGTTCATTTAGCCCTGGTATTTGGTATGATTTCTCCTAATGCTTTGCAAGTTAATAACTTATTCATTAATTCACTCATTTATTCATTTATTCATTTACTTATCTACATCTCTTTCTTTTCTGTGTGTTGTAATCTCATCCCCCCCATACTCTGAGCTTTAATTTGATTTATGGTATTTTGTGGCATATAAAAATCTTTCCGTTTTATTTAGCCAAATTTACCAATCTTTTCAATTATAATTTTAGACCTGAACAATTTGGGATCTCTGTAAATTCAGTTATTCATCTGCATATTCAAGCTAAAATAGAGCAGTGGCTTAGAAACCATCTTTCCTAAAACTATGACAATGCCATTTACAGTAAGAGTCAATGAAATGGGGGGAGAGTCATTCAATGTTCAGAATAGAAAGATTTAGAAGAATGGCAAAGTTGAGCATCATACCTTTATGAAGTGAATTGTGTCCTTCTCAAAATCCTTGTTTTAGCCCTCACCTCCAGTCTGACTGTATTTGAAGATAAGGCGTTTTTTTTAGGGTTAAATGATGTCATAAGGATGGGGCCCTAATCCAACAAAACTGACATCCTTATAAGAAGAGGAAGAGACAGCGGAGCTTGCTCTCTCTGCCCTGTGAAGACATGGTGAGGAGAAGGCTGTCTGCAAACCGGGAAGAGAGCCCTCACCAGAAAACAACCCCTCCAGCACCTTGACCTTGGATTTCCAGGCCCCAGAACTGTGAGAAGTTAAATTTCTGTTAAGACTCCCAGTTATGGCAGCCAAGCAGACTAATCCACTTAGGCTGATGCAGTCACCAGTTCTGCTGGGCACAATTCTAAGATGCCTCCCAAAATGCTCACTTGGCCCTGGCGCCTACACACCATCTGCCAGTTGTTTACTCAAGCACTGATTTCAGTGCTGCTGCAATGGGATTTGGTTATAATTAAGGTCCTGGATCAGTTGCCATTCAAATGGGGAGATAATCTGGGTGGGCCTATTTAAACACATGAGCCTTGCTTTTAGAAAGACCCCTACAGCTAGTCACAGAGGAGGCGGCTAGAGAGACTTTGGATGGCCTCTAGGAAAGCAGACCTCCTTGTCATGAACTGCCTGGGGGCCACATGTAAAGAACTGCAGGTGCCTCTAGCTGAGAGCTAAAAGGAAAGAAAGACCCGAGTCCTACCACCACAGGGCCCTGAGTTCTAACAGCCACTGAGCTTGGAGGAGGACTCTAAGCCCAAGAAAGAAATATAGCCCAGCCAAACTCTTGGGTCCCTGAGCTGTGAGTCCGATTAAGCTGAGCCTGGACTTCTGACCCACTGGAACTGGAAGATAATGCATTTGCATTGTCTTACACTGGTAGGTTTATAGGATTTTGTCACATTGAAATGGAGAGTGAATGTGTCAGTGTTTACATCCCTGCGGAGCAAGGAGGGTGCCAGCTACGGAGGTGGAGTAGGGGGCCTGGCTCTGCAGCTGGGGCATCGCAGACAGCGGTTTGGCTAACGGTGCAGCTGATCTTCGCAAGTTCCCACCCTGCTCCTCATGAAACACAGTTGCGCCTCGAACAATATGGGCCTGAACTGCAAGGGTCCACCCAATGCATATTGAAAATACAGAATTGAAGGAAGAGGAAGGGGAGTCCCGCATATACAGAGGGCTCTCCCATACAGATGAGTGGAAATGCCACCGGGTGAAATCTGTTGGAACATCCATACAGAAGCAAAATATTAGGGAAACAACAGGTTACAGAATCCTCCTTGAACATTTTTTCTTTCAGAGAAGTCAAGTGTGTAGGTATTTGGAGCTAGGCTAGGTGATAAGAGGGACGTAAGGAATGTGGTGTCTGTCTTACATGTGAATATTGAGGACCCAGTATCTACAGCCACAAAGTGACGACCAGGTATCACCCAGCAGCAAACTTCTGAAAGTCACGCTCTGAGAAGCCTCTGCCTCCGATCTGGGGCCTTCACCTTTCCAGGGGCCCACCCCATCCCTCCTCCCAGCCTTCTGCTACCTGTCTCTCCACTTCTTCTACAAGCACCCTCTCCAAAACTGCCACATGTTCTCCTGACTTTGTGTCTCTGTGGGATTGCCTCTATGATGTATCAGGAGGACGTGTGGTTCAGGGGCCAACTGAAACACCATGTCCTTTGGTTTTTCGTGAAGCCATCCCCCATTTCCTGGAACCAAAATAGATCCCACAGCACTTCCTGTGTACCCTGATACCTAACAAAATGTTTTAAAGATTGCTTTAGCTGGAGATTCTTACATATGTGTGTCCTCCTGGGACAGTGAGTCTGGCAACCAACCCTCGCTGATTCTTTCCCTCCCTCCCCCCGTCTCGCAGCAGCTGGCCAACTGCCCCTTCTCCAGCAGGTGCTCCCTGCAGGCTTGTGAAATACACTGGAGGGCAATTGTCTGGCTCAGACTCATGTTGCCATCAGCAAATGACCACGTTTAAGAATGTTATGTCACCTCTATATTTGGCCTGCATTATTCATATAAATATGCTTGGTAGACAAGGGACAGAAGGCACTTGTGTCGGAGAAAGACAGTTTAAAGGGCAACGACCTAACACACTATAAAATACAGGGAGTGGGGAGTGGGGTGGAGGGAGCAAGCCACGCGGCTGCCAGGCAGGGCCCTGCTCCCCTGGGTGCACTTCCTCCCTGCTCCCGTGGGTGCACTTCCTCCCTGTCCAGGGAGTGCACTCGCTTCATTGCCCAGTGCGACTGGGTCTGCTTTGCAGGGGCCATATCTGTCTGATTGTGCTTGGGCAGATTTCTCTTGTCTCCACCTAGCTGGGGTGATTCAAGTAGGAAAAAAGAAAACCCTCCTGCACAGATTGTGCGATCATTTCATTTCCTTGCCTTTGTTTGTCATTTCTCCTGTCTGAAAAAACAGGGAATCCACTAAAGGCCAGAACATTGTACTCTGCTTCCATCCTCATGAAATCTTGGCTTTTCTTTGCAGGAAGCATCCAAAATAACACAGGATTGGTCCTGGGGTCCCAGGCAAAAGTGAGAGGTCAGAAGGGTCTCCATGGTTCTCACTCCTCTCTCTGTGACCTTCACTAGCTCACTTCCTTCCTGCCCAGTTCTCATTCTCTCGTCCATCTTTTCTTTGTCTTCCTGTGGATGAATACATGCGTGAACATAAGACTAAAGGCAAAAGTCTCAATGGAATCTATCAAACTGTTCATTGTTAACCACTTTCCTGTAGGTTGGGTGGGGGAGGTTTTACTTTCACTTTATTCATTTCCTTCCTTCCTTCCTTCCTTCCTTCCTTCCTTCCCTCCTTCCTTCCTTTCTTTTCTGTCGGAGTCTTACTCTCGCTCAAACTGGAGTGCAATGGTGCAATCTCAGCTCACTGCAACCTCCGTCTCCCAGGTACAAGTGATTCTCCTGCCTCAGCCTCCTGAGTAGCTGGGATTACAGGCATCCACCACTATACCCAGCTAATTTGTGTGTGTGTGTGTGTGTGTGTATATATGTATATACACACACAAACACATACCTATATATATATATATTTAATAGAGAAAGGGTTTCACCATGTTGGCCAGGCTGGTCTTGAACTCCTGATTTCAGGTGATCCGCCTGCCTCAGCCTCCCAAAGTGCTGGGATTACAAGTGTGAGCTGCAGCACCTGGCCTATTAATTTCTGTATTTGATTTTTTTTACAGCACATGAAATAGTTTTGATGTTTAAATGAAGGAAACAAAAGCAGTGCTTTCGATAGCCCAAGCTTATCTTTCCTAAATGAACCCAAACCTCACAGTTATTCCCTTTACCTCCCACTCCCGATCACACTTGTCCCAGGTGGATCACGTCCGAGACCAGCACTCCATGAATTTTAGGAGCCAGAGCGGACCGTGAAGGTGTCCTGGTAGCTGAGGTCCTATGGCTACTCATGAAATTTTAGTGAGCCATGGCTTGCCTGAGGCTGTGGCCCGCAAAGTCTGAAGGGAGTCACCTCCTTCAAATCCACTGAGCAAGGCCTGGGGAGTAATGGGAGGTCCCCCGTCTGACTCACACCTGACACCAGCAACTGCCCGGGGACGGTGAGGGACCATGGGGTCAGCCTCAGACTCTCTGCACATGTTTGCTGGCCAACGTTCCAGCCAGCGGGCCTGGACTGGAGGGCTGGGATGGAGAGGGTGGGGCAGGAAGGCAGAGCCTGCCCTGAGGGAACCGGGAGGTGTTCCGCGCAGGCTCTGCTGCTTTCTGACGTGTGACCGTGTGCACAGGATTTGTCCCAAGTCCCACCTGCCTCTTCTGGAAAGTGGAGCGATGAGGTGAGCAGGCACAGAGGTCACAAGGAGAATTCAGGGATCCAGAGACCCCCAGAGCTTGCCCTGTGCCCATGCTGCAGTGGGCACTCTCCTGGCATGGCCACGTCTGTCACCTGTGATGCTCACAGCCTGCTCACTACTAGAAGGCTTTAATTTTCTGAAGCAGTGATATTTAATTTATTTGAAATTTCAAATGTCATTAAAAGACACGTGCTATTTTTAGGCTAGGAATTTAAAATGCTTCCAAAATGCCTCATCCCCATCGCTCTTATTGCAAGCATGTATTAGCTGTTCTCACGCCTGCTGAGAATGCCCTGTGACTGAAGCAGGGGCTGCTTCTGGGGGACAGTGCAGCCACCATGTGGGTCAATATAAGGAAATCAGGATGATACAAGTGATGTGGGTTTGCACCATCATCCTGGCTGCTCTGTGTGCTTACGTGTGTATAACATTGACACGAGGAAATAGATGCCTGTAGCAGATGGGGATTTAGCTAGAAAGCAGGAGGCAGAGCACGATGAGTATGGTGCAGTATCTCCAGCAGACCTATACTGGGCAGAAACCTCACAGCTCTGTCCAAAGGGAGCTTCATCCCTCCAATGGCCATTCCCCTGCAGTCCGTGAACCCCCAGGATAGCTGCACCGCATCAGCAGAACAATTGCAGTGCCTTTACAGTGAAGGAACACAGGCTCCAGCTGTCAGCTCCATCTCAAAACCTACCCACCCCACTCATCCTGCACACGCTGCCCCAGCCCCACGCCCCAGAGGCTGCCCAAGCACCTAGCGAAGCCCTCCAGGATGCTTGGCTCTGGGCCTGTTGTTTCAAGCCCTGCCCTGCCTTCTGGCTGCTGGATGGGGAATTGCAGTGAGATTCCTTCCCTCCGAAGCTCCATCTGGTGCAACATCTGGAGCTGGTCCCCCAGCATAGGAGGATGTGAGTGGGATGATGAATGGCACCTCAGAAGTGTGCTGTTGGGGAGGGCCCACCTGTTTACCAACATGATTGCAAAACTTAAATAGCTCTGGGGATTCTGAACTGCTCTTCTTGGGGGGCTCCCCACCGAGAGCATTTTAGGCCCTGTGCATAGCAGGATTATAAAAAAGTCATATTTAAGACTTGATCATGCTTCTGGCATTTGGAAGGAAATGGATGGATGAAGAAGAAACAGAAAAGATTATAGAGAACTGGAAAACAACAATTTAACTGCTAGGATAGGAATCCCAAATGTTATAGGGGAAGTTCTGGGATGAAGAGAAGACGGAGCAGTGGCTGCCACTGACTCAGTGATGTGTAGGACATGGGGAAGCCGGGATTGTGGACACTCCCCACCGTGGTACCCCCCGCTCCAGTGGTACCCTCCACCGCCCCCGGCATGGGCAGCTCAGACCACCGGGAAAGTTCCAGCAGGCAGATACACTGCTTCCCACACAAGCTCATTGGGGGAAGGCGGCTCTTTTTTTCTCATTGTTACAATATGATTTGATTCGTGGTGTTGTAATGATTAGCAAGCAGAACCAATGCGGTTTCTTTCCCCAGCATCGCTTGAAACTACAGCAAACTGTCCAGAGAAGGGATCACAGTGGGATTCTGATGCCTTATTATGATGTCACCTTCACGGGGAGGTTTAGAGGTTTGCTTTTGTTTTGCTGTTCTAAGAAAAAAAGAATGTGCCATTTGGACATTTCACCTTCAATTTGGAACTTAAAAATTTAGTCCATAAACAGGAAATAAACAGAACTTTTGAGAGCTCCCTCTCTCATTTGGCAAGGCCCCCCACTTGCCCTCAGCACTTGGGCACCCACCTTGACTTACAGAGGAAGCCCTGGAAACAGCCAAGGATGGGGGAAACCAATCCTGGGAGAACAGGGGGACTCGCCTGCCAACCTGCTGACCTCTGGGACCAAATACCAGGGCTCCGTGGAGACGTGGCTTTTTCTGGGAGGATATACTGAAAAACAGAGCAAAAGGGGAATTGTTTGCTGTGTGAGATTGCCAAGTCAGCCCTAGGAAAGAAAGGCCCGAGGGCACATCTGCAGAAGGACTGGAGGGTCAGTCTGAGCTCATATTTGCCAAGTCTCCAAAGAATGGGCATCTTATGGTCTCAGCACGAGGGAGAAGAGAGAATTTCACCTAGGATGGCTTCCAGTAAGCACCTGCGATGTCTGGGTTCTCTCCATTCCCAGGCCTGAGAGCGGCTGCACAGTCCTGATTCCTGGAGCGCTGGCCCAGGCCAGGTCCTCCATGTCATCCCCTTTCATATCTACATTTATTCATGCAGACGCGGACTCTGAGCAAAGTGTCAGGAACCTGGTGATTCAAGTTGGGAGAATCCACCAAAGTGCTTTCCCCCCCATGATTCACTCGCTTGGGCCTCTCTGGAGGCTCTTCCTCCCCATTCTCCTCTTAAAGGCCAGGAGAGAGGCTGGCAAGGTCGCCTGTCTCCCTCCTCCACACCTGTTCCCAGATAGCTGCTTCCTGCCGGGACTCCGTGATCTTGTCTGCAATGGGTCCAGATCTGTAGACTGTCATCTAACCCCTAGATTCCTACAGCGGACTGACTACCACTGTCCGTGCATAGCAAGGTTGTCCCTAAAGCTCAGACGATGGCCTCCCCAGTGCTTCCCCAGAACCCGATGTGGTTTTCAGTAGAGGCTTCTTCCATGGAAGCTGCCAACATGTGTCCCACCTGCCGGCATTAGACCTGGGGCACCTGATTGCTTCTGCCCGCCCCAGGATGCTTGCCCCAGGCCTCCCCCATCCATCCAGGTCACCTCCTCCCTAGACCTTCTCAGCAGCCCCTGGCTGGTCTCTGAGCTGCGGGCTTTCTGTTCCTGGACTGCCCTTCACCCTGTCCCCAGAGCCTCCTCAGCACTGATCTGATTTTGTCACTGCATTCCTGCGCTTGTAAGCCTGTGACTGGCAATACTGTCACTTCTTAGAAAGCATTTTGGTCTCGACACGGTTCACACAGGCAATGCCCCGCCATCAATGCTTCCAGTTGTGTTCGACGGGAAGCAGACAGTAGCAGTGACGGCTCTTGGTGCTCACCCAGACCTCCCTTGCTGGGAGGTTGTCACTGATGGAGGCAGGTACACACATAGCCATCCCCTTGCCCTCCCTCAGGGACCAGCTGTGAAGTGCATTGCATGCTTTCACTTCCAGATGGCATTCGACTGCAGCTGGTCTCCAGTTGGGACCACATCAGTGCCTCCTGTCTCCCCTGCCCCAGGCCGCTTCCCTCCCTCCTCCTATTAACATCATGCTCCCCAATAATCCCCACAGCCCCGCCTCAGCCTCTGCTTCTGGGGAACCTGACCTAAGGCAACAACAACATTTCCCTGGGGCTGAGGAGGCAGGCATGCTTTTAAAGAGGCTTTTCCATCACCTTTGAGCATCACCTGCCCACGAGATCAACCCCACACATTTGAGTTTGGCACACGACACATTGCATGGCCTGGCACGGCCTTTCTTTCCTGCCTTCATCTTTCACCTCTCTATACCCTGTTCTTTGACCTTAGCCTGGGGTTCTCCACAGAAACCACACTGTTGGACTCTTTTATGCCTTGGTGCATCCTAGATGTCACATTACAGTAGTTTGGAGAGACTTTTCTTAGGTGTAAGTGAGATAAAGGGGTTGCTGGAGGTGCTGGCTACAGGACAGTGACAGAGAAAGCAGTGGGGTAGGCTTGCCACATGGAAGAGAGCAGGTGAAGGAGGAGACATAATTTTTTCACAGGAGGCAGCTGCTGCCTGTCCAGCACATGAACCAGGGGTACAGGGATGGGGTGCGACCAGCAGCTAATCTAACTGGTGTATCTTCACATTGCATGTTACCATCAGGATGGAGAGAACAGGTGCTCTCTGGACCCTCTGTCTCCCAGCCTGACTCTTCCCAAGACTGTGAGCACCTACAGAGCAGGCCTCAGTCCATAACCTTGGTATTCTTGTGTTGAGTTTTATGCCCGCTGCAATGCTAGACTGAGATGCCTCTTGTATGGAAAATATTTCTTAGGAGTTTAGCAAATTTATGTCATTGGCTGATATTTCAGGCCAATCCATTCTGGGATTAGAACATTATCAGGAGGTAACCTTAGGGTTCACTTAGTTCCGGCAAAACCTCTTAACTTCAGTTCCCTCATCTATAAGAATAAGGGATTCATTTGTGATCACATAGCTCAGGTAATCCAGGACCAGAAACCCAGGAGCATGGGACCTGATCCACAGCTAGAGGATGGGGGACTCTGTAGCTACAGCATTTTCCTGAACACACAAGAAATCCAGTAAGCAGCACACACTGGCTGAATCGGCTTTCCAATCAGAAACAAGCCCTTGACTTGCCAGAGTTGGAAGACTGCAAGTACCTGCCCAAATGTCCACCCAACAGATAAACTCCCTGTTACGTACATAATTACAAGCATTCTTTACCTGACAGTCCCATGGCTGGACAAGCCAAGCTAAGTTTTCAGTGTACATAAAAAGCATAAAACCTGATGAAGTGGCCTGCCTAAAAATTAATGTGATGGCCGCAATTGCAGCTTTTGTGGCCCTGATGTTAGTCTTTGAACGAGTCTGCCTTCTGGATCAAGTGAACTTTTACTCTGGGATTATAGAAAACAAAGTAAGTGATCTCAACTCCCTGCCGCTTATACAAGAGGAGAGTTGTTACTTTTACTTTATTTTATTTTAAGATGGAGTTTTGCTTGCCCAGGCTGGAGTGCAATGGCGGGATCTCGGCTCACTGCAACCTCTGCTTCCTAGGTTCAAGCCTCCTAAGTAGCAGGGATTACAGGTATGCACCACCATGCCCAGCTAATTTTTTGTATTTTTAGTAGAGACCGGGTTTCACCATGTTGGTCAGGCTGGTCTCAAACTCCTGATCTCAGGCGATCTGCCCGCCTCGGCCTCCCAATATGCTGGGATTACAGTAGTGAGTCACTGAGCCTGGCCTTATTACTTTTAGATAAAAGGCACTTGTTAAATCAGCCATTTCACATCCATTGATAAAGATGGGTGCTTCTGAAATGGCCACAGCTGACAGCCAATACACCTGCAGGTCCACCCTCTGCTGGTCATTTTCTGACCACAGTAAGTGCTCAGCAGCCATCCCCAGAGCAGGGGTCAGCAAAATTCTACATCAAGGGTCAAATAGTAAATATTTTAGGCTTTCCAGGACCTACAGTTTTTGTATCAACTACTCAACTCTCCTTTTACCTGAAGCAATAGTCAACACATAGATGAACGGGTGTGACTGTGTACCAATAAAACTTTATTTACAAAACAGCAGGCCCCGGGGCCATAGTTTGCTGACTCCCGCCATTGTGTAGCCTGAAGTGGAGCTCAGAAGCAGGGGCTCCAGCCGTGGGTGGCAAACTCTCAAACCCAATGACACCAACAGTATCTTTGGTTAGAGCATTTAGAGTTTTAGCCATAGTTCAATTAGCAGCTGATGATTTGTTCGTCGATCAGCCCAAGCATGTGAAACATAATTGTTCCTTCAATTCCCATCAGCCAGGAGGTGACAGGGAAATGACCTATTAGCTGACTTCAGGCAGCAGGAAAAGTCCAGAGTTGGCGGCTGCCATTGCTATATTTGTTGGTGATCCAAGAGAAGGGTGGTAACTATGACCAAGAAGAAAAGGTCTAGGGGAACTATTCCTTATATTGTGGAAATATTCCATACTTCGCTGGGATATTTTCACTGAAATCATTTTGAACTGAGAACCAGGGCCATTCCTCTGACTGTAAAGCTTTGTAGAATGTATTCAATTCTGCATGTTACTGATGGGTGCTAACCTTTTGTGTGTGTTTGTGTGATGTTCGAGCTTAAGGGATCTCTGGACAATAATAATGATAATTCAGCTGCCTGGGATCTTGATGAAACCCATCCACTCCTTCCCACCTTTCCCACATCAGATCTTCTACAAAGCAAACTGATGCTTTCAGTAAAATATTACTGATGCAATCCAAGAAACAGAAAAAACAGCCCACCAATTTACTCCCATTTGAACCCCTGAAGCCTGTTCACAGTATTACCACATTGTTTTTGAAGTTTACAGAACAAAACCATAGATGGAACCCAAGAATTCTTCTAGTTGAAGCCCATTTTAGAGCTAGATTGACTGAAGTCTAAGGTGATGTGATTTATGTGATTTCCCCACTTTCAAATATCTCCTAAGAAATGGCCATAGAATGTATGAGATTTCTTTTTAAAAGAACTTTACTCATACTGCATACATGTATGTACACACACACACATGCACGCACACACACCTGCACACACACCAAAGCTCAGGATCTCCTTTGAAGGAGTATTCGAGCTCACGAATGGTGAGAGCCTGTGTGGCTCAGGCCCTCTGCAGAGCCAGGGCAGAGAGACAGATGCCATTTTGGGGACAATTTAGGCTGCACAGCTGCTCTCTCTGAACTGCCAACAGCTGAACCAAAATGCTCAGGAGGTGGGCTGGGCAGCCCTGGGCTGTGGGCACAGTGTCCTTGGGTATTTACAATCCCTCGATCCTTGCCTGATTGGTTTTCCATAGGCAGGGCTTCGTCCAAGTTCCTAGGGTCGCAATACCATTCTCATTAGAAGGTTCCTCTTGAGAGACACCATGGAGCAGGGAAGGTCTTGGGTGTCCTCCCATCTCATTAGCCCTTCCCCTAGGTGCCTGTGTTTCCCATCCCAGTGGGGATCCAAAGCATGTCCTGGGCATTGGGTAAGGGTTTAGAACCTTGTCCCCACCTGCATATGATAGACATGGGGAGGGACAGGATCAGGAGGTTGCTAGGTAGAGCCTGCAGGTGCCTTTCCCTGAACTCGGTTATGTGGCTGAGTTCTTCAGAGAAATAGTCAGGAGCTAAGGGGTTAAACAAGCATCCCTCCCTGCAGAGACAGGCAGGTCAGAGGCTGCATCTGTTAAATTAGGGTCCAGGCCACAGAGGTAATACCTACCACTCTAAACTGTTAGCCTTCCAATACTACACTCCAGTTCTGGGAGTGAGTAGCTGTGTGTCCAGAGATAGAAGCCATAAGCACTTGAGTTACAGAACTGCTGAGAAATTGGTCTGATGGTCTAGTAACCTTGTGCCAGGAGAACAGTTCCTACGTAGAAACTGGTCAGCATTTTCTTCTGAAAACGTAATCATGATTGCAGTGAGTGTAAACTTCCATTTATATGCCAGGAACCTATAAGTTTCAGAATGTGTCTGATCCCTGAAGACATCCCTTCTCTCAGACGGCTGGCCCTTGCCCCACTGTTGCTGGGTTGTGTATAATCTGTATGTCCAGTCAACCTCAGCTCTCAGCCTCTGAGCCCAGGGGACAGAAGGTCGTGGCTTTAAATGTTCACTTAAATATTGTCAAGGTAGTATGTTTATTGTGTACTCCCAATGGTTGTCTTAGAAAACCAAGGATGGTGTCATCCTTAGACTTAAGGGGCCCCAGGCCTGGCAGTGCCTTCCTTCAGAGTTCTAAGCTCCAATGCCTGTGTGTGGCCTGGCTCACAGAGCCATCTGAGCAGGACCCCTGAGCCCAGCTTGTCTTCCCCTCTTGGATGTTCTCCAACCCTCTACCCACCCGCCCCATGCATGAGTCAACCAGATGCCCTGAGGAGCTCTGGGACTTGCACCTACAGGGTCATCCCGAGGCCCTGTGGCCAGATAGGCACCAATCCTAGGAGAGTGGGGAGGTGAGCTCATCTCTTTTGCAGGCCGGCATGGTATTTCTTTGGCAGGATGCTGTGAGACTGGGTCCCAGAACAGTGCTGGCCTGTTCATTTTGGATGACTCAAATTGCTTTTTAAACAGGAGTTTTGAAAAAAGTATTTGGCCAGGCCCAGAGTACTATAGGGGCAGCCCTGACCAGGGAAACATTAATATACCCTCTCCCAAAATACAAATCTCTTTTAGACTGTTGCCAGCAGTCTCAGGAATGATCAATACTAGTGGTTGAGACTAGAGGGACCATTAAGTAAGTGGAGTTGATCTTTATTGGATATAGCTGGCCCTCTTTGGTAAGATGTGATCAGAAGAAAAATTCAGGCAGCAGGCTACATAATCTTCATAGAAAGTAAATTTCAAATGCATCATACAAAATTCACAGACAAACACATATAATTGCTTAATTGCTTCCTTGTTTAATAAAATGTCTTTCCTGATCAATACCTCTTAACAAGTTGACCAAACCAGGTATAGTTTAGCTTCCTGATCAGATTTAGACCTTGAATTTAATGGAGGTATAGATAGGTAGGTAGGTAGGTAGATAGATAACCCATGAATGTTGAAGAATTGTGTCTATATTAAAATTTAGCCAAAGGAGACCAGAGTAATATAATAAATTTGTTCCTATGGGAAAAGCAGTTTAAGCAAACATGTGCCCCATTGGTGGGTGGGGAGGTGTGTATTGGTGCTATTTTTTGTACAGCATTACATTGTTTCCCTGGTGGGGAAGAACAGGTTAGCTTTATAATTTTGGGAGAGCAATTTAATTTAAAAGATATACCCTCACTGGGATAATTAAATCCTGATGTGTGAGGTTCTTTCAAATGGAAGATTTGCTTAAGGTGTTCACATTTTGGTTATTCTGAACATTTCTACTTGCTGTATTGCGGAGTCACGATACTGAAGGGCACACAGGTTTTTGTATCTCACATATGTGACACATCCTTATCTAAAATTTCAGAGCCAAGAGAAAAGAAGGAATCAGATAGTGATAACCCAGTGAGGTATCTGCTGCACAGTCTGCCTCTCCAACTTTGCTGAGGAAACTCGAAAGTATGGAAAGCCAGGAGCCCAGCACAGGTCCCTTCCCAGCTTCTGTCTCTTAGCCTGGCAGAGACTTCAGAGGAAGAACTCCCTGAGAACGGGAAGTCATTCTCTAGTTGTCTTGTGCTTCGTGTTTGCTTTTCATTGTCTTTTTCAAAGTAATGTATGCACAACGTGGGTAACACTGACTTTTATTGGCTCATATTGACAAAAACAGTAGTCCCCTGCCTCTCTCCTCCTGAACTCTGGCCTTGCTCCCCAATTGCTAATATGTTCAATGATTTTTGCTATTTCTTACCAACAACTACTTTAATATTTCTCCATAACATGCTTAAATATTTGTACTTATTTGGGCCGGGTGCGGTGGCTCATGCCTGTAATCCCAGCACTTTGGGAGGCCGAGGCAGGTGAATCACCTGAGGTCGGGAGTTCGAGACCAGCCTGACCAACATGGAGAAATTCCGTCTCTACTAAAAATGCAAAATTAGCTGGGCGTGGTGGCACATGCCTGTAATCCCAACTACTCAGGAGTCTGAGGCAGGAGAATGGCTTGAACCCGGGAGGCGGAGGTTGCGGTGAGCTGAGATCGCGCCATTGCACTCCAGCCTGGGCAACAAGAACACAACTCTATCTCAAAAAATATATTATATACATATATATGTATATAATATATTTTTATATATATACATATATTTATATATACATATATATTTATACTTATTTATTTAGATATTATGCATTGCTTTCCTACTGTAATAGATGAAGATTAACTCTTCCGTATTACTTTTCACCCAATTTCACCTTCCCCCATACTCCCATATAATTATGTTTCAATTTTGGTTAAACCAATATGAGATGATTGCATTGTTGCTGAACAAGAGGTACAATATTACGTTCTCTTTTTGTATACAAAGACTATTAATTTAGAGACCTAGAGCTTTCAGATCTTGGAGGGGTTCTTCTATCTCAATAACTACCCAACCCCCATTTTCTTTTCTCAGAGTTCATGGAATTGAATAATCTGGATGGATATTCTAATTTTTAAAATTTCTTTTTTCCATTTATTTTAATTCTGCATTCTGGGGGGTTTCCTCACCTTTATTTTTCAGCCTGTCTATTGGCTGTAAATTTGGCTACCATTCATTTAATTGCTAAGGTCTCTTGTCCTGTTTCTTCCTTTTTTAAAAAAAATCTCCTAAATTTCTGAATGCAAAACATTACTATATTTTGAGGCTATTCCTAAGAAACAGATTTTGTTCTTTTTGAATTCTTTTTCTCTCTGCATTTTCTCTATTTTGTAATTTTAAACGTTTATTCATTTAGTCTCTGTCTTTATGAAACAACATTCCTCAAAGGTCTGGTGGTATCTGTCTGTCTCAGTAGAATAATAAAAGCTGAATAGAATTTTGGGGGCTGAGAGTAGAGCTTGTCCACTAGCAGGTGTTACTGTGATTAAGCAGCGAGTCAGCTTTTAAACTGAGGACTCTCCTATTTGATGGACTTTTCTCTGGAGCCCCCTCATTTTCCCAGGGCGGAATCCCTCAACCTCTTGCCCAGGGAAGATAGCTGGGCTGCTGCTGCTCTAGAACACGGGTCGGGAGGAGGAGGCTGGGAAGGGTGTCTCACTCTTCCATGCAAGCACTTGCACACTGTCCCATCTTCAACTCAGAGCCTCCTCCCATTCCCCGCTGGGACTGGAGTCTCTGAGACCTGAATACCTTAGGTTCAGTTCCTCCAGAGAGTCAACCTCCCATCTCGTGTGTTACTGGAGGAGGGTTTTTGCCCAGGTGCCTGGGCTGAGGGAAGGGATCAGAATGCGCCTTATTCAGACTTTCAACCTTCCTGCATATTCACTTGCTCACCTGGTTTCTGCCCTTCCCCGCACCCGGACCCTCCCATCCCCGAGCTCCTGCTCCGTGGTTCCTGACACCTCTCTTGGCCTCTCCTTGGCGTTCATCCTCGCCAGGTACTTCGGTTCCTGTTTCTTCAGTTCCACCAAACCAGCCAGTGTTCTCCCACCCACGGTCTGTCTTTGATTACAGGTGTTGAAATGTTAGGTCTGATCTGCTGTTCTCTCTTCTCACTCCTCTTCCTGTGGATTTTTACCTGTTTATTCATTTAGTGTTATTTTGGTGGATTTTCAGCAGTAAAGAGGAAATAAATACGTATTAAATCCAGAAGAATCCAGAATGTTTAAATGGAAGTCTTTCATCTTGTCTGCTTTTATTCAGATCAAATGGATCAGATGACTTAAATCAAAAGGTAATATTTATGAGACACAAAGAATTACTCTCTCCTCTCAACAAAAATAAAGCCTCCGCCTCTAACATCATCCAGTCTGCCTCCCAGACATGAACTTGTGCACAAAGATGTCAGGGAGCCATCAGGCACGGCACTGCCTAAAAAGCCCATGTGGCATAAAGAATTTGTAGCACAAAGCGCTACAAATACAGGGTCCTTCTCTACAGGTTATTCACACTGATCTTCCCGACAGCACTATTAGTTGGTAATATGTCTATATTGCAGATTAAAAAAATCAGATGGCCAGTCGCAGTGTCTCACACCTGTAATCCCAGCACTTTGGAAGGCCAAGGCAGGAGGATTTCTTCAGCCCAGGAGTTCCAGCCCAGCCTGGGCAACATAGGGAGATCTCGTCTCTACCAAAAATCAGAAAGTTAGCTGGGTATGGTGGCACATGCCTTTAGTATCCCTCTACTTGGGAGGCTGAGGTGGAGGATCCCTTGATCCCAGCAGGGTCAAGGCGGCAGTGAGCCCTGATCATACCACTGCACTCCAGCCTGGCCAACAGAGCAAGATCCTGTCTCAAAAATAAAAATAAAAATAAAATAAAATACATCAGACATAGAGCGGTTAATTGGCTACCCAATCCAGAACACTAAGTAGCAAAAATAGGACTTGAACCCAGGACCTCCAGGTGTTTCTGGGTGTTCTTTGAGTTCCTCCATCCTGAATCAATAGTCAAGTATCATGTATAAATGGAGCCACAGTCCTCAAGGATAAACACTAACTGCTTGTAGGCCACTGCAGGCCATTCAGTACAGTGTTTTATTGTGCTGAAAAGTCACCTGTTTCCAGAAGTGCTTCCCCAATGCAGGCTTTCTAAAGTCATCATGTAGAGTAAATTATTTTCCCCTAACAAACTATGCTAAAATGAGCAGGATGGGCAGGAAGTGCTTGTGTGGTCTACATTGTATACAACTATCATGGAAAGTTCAACTCATGGGACACTTGGGTTATCTGGAGGACACATGGCCGTGAGAGGATGTGGCGCTTAGAAGCTCCCTTCATCACTTGCTTGGCCCTCATTCATGCATGGTGAGGAGTGGGTGGGAAAAGTTATAGAAGCCAGTAGCCAAACCCGGTATACCCAAATGTTTAGCTTAGATTGAAGCTTTGGTGTTTCTAATATGTACATTCGACTCACTTCCAGAAGACAGAGATGGGGGACTTGAAAACTAGCTTAGCAGAGAGTTAGTTAATCCTAAACCTACCTCGTTCTGTCACCTTGGCGATGAAATGACTATCCTAATACAGTCAGAAGAGGACTTAATAATCAGCCAGGCAGGTGCGGGGAGGGAATGCCAGAAACATGCAAAACCGCTGACAGCAAGAAGTTTCCATACTTTTGGGGGTGACTGTGCATAACTAAGTGCCTACAATTCCCAAATTAAAAATTCCAGTTCCTTTACAACCAGCAGTGGCAGGTCTACTCAGGGGCAGTCAGGAGGCTCCCACAAGTGCAGCTGTCCAGCACTGCACCACACCTTTCTCTTTTCTCAAATAGAAAAGGTTTTATATAATAGATATATCCAAAAATGTAGAGGTCATAAAAACAACAGCAGATAAAGCTGTATCCTTGTTGGTTTTATTTGTTTGCTTTTGGTGTTATGTTTAGGGTAACATGATTGCTGCTGATAAGAACACATTACCTTTGTAATCCCAGCACTTTGGGAGGCTGAGGCAGGTGGATCACGTGAGGTCAGGAGTTTGAGACCAGCCTGGCCAACATGGTGAAACCCTGTCTCTACTAAAAATACAAAAATTAGCTGGGCATGGTGGCTCATGCCTGTAATCCCAGCTACTTGGGAGGCTGAGGCGGGAGAATCGCTTGAACCCAGGAGGCAGAGGTTGCAGTGAGCCGAGATCATACCATCGCACCCCAGCCTGGGTGACAAGAGTGAAACTCCATCTCAAAAACAAAACAAAACAAAAAAACACCTGTGTAGAGCAAGTTCACCTTTTCATAGCACATGCAGAAAGCACACCTCTGTGAGTTTGCAAAGAGAACAGCCCTCTTCTGCTGTGTGACATTTCAGAAGATGGAGGCTCAGAAGCTTCAAGTCTTATTTTGCTACCAGGACAGAAACAGAAGCCAAATCTTTAGGCTTCAGATTTACCTTTTTTTCCTAAGAGTGGGACATCATATTTAATTTTCCAGGTCAAAGACCAGCGCTTGAGTTGATCATAGATCTTCTCAGAGAAGTCATCTGAAAGGGAAGTAGTCTGTTTTCTTAGTCACCTGAAAAGCCATAGAATAAGATAAGGCTTAGAATAAGAAAATATTGGTTTCTCCATGAGAAGAAGGAAGAGAAAACCAAGTTGAACCATTTAAGTCTCAGTTGAGTTGAAATACTCAAGTGACAAAATAATCTGAAAATTAAAAGTATGGTGTATCTCTAAACAATTATTTTAGCAAACATACTCTGGTTAAAAATGTATTCTAAAGAAGGTTTTATTTAATTATAAATATCTATATTTTGTTTTTCACCTCTTCCAAAAGGGTAGAATAAAGTAGGAAAATGCACTTGGGTTCATCTCGAAACTCAGAGGCAGCGTGGTGTGGGGCAGAGGGCTAGCATGGGAGGTGGGAGGCCTGGTGTTGGCCCGGGAACCCGCACTGACCAGCCTGTGGCCAGGGCCTCATCTGAGTGGAGGGAGGCCTTGGTCTAGAACTGAGATTCACCATATAAGCTCCCCAGTCTGCTTGTGGACCAGGAGTGTCTTGGGAATGGGAACCAAACTAATCCAAAGATGAAGTTCAACTCTTTGGTTCTTATGAAGTGAATAACCCACAATTCCATAGACATTCATTTTTCTATACACTTAAGGGTTACAAAAGGAGTTATTAAATGTGAATAACCTCTTGAATATATAAAATTAGACTGCAGTTACAGTTTTCCCAGGATCCATTCTGTATTCCCTGGAATCCAGCTTGCACCAAGAGCCTGGCACACTCTGGAGCTTTTGCTTCACCCAGCAGGTACGGAGTCAAACTCGACACCTGGAATCTGTGTGTTGCTAGTGTTGAGTGGAGCTCAACACCTGGGATCTGCATTGCTAACATTGAGTGGAATTTAACACCTGGAATCTGTGCATTGCTAGGGTCGAGTGGAACTTGACACCTGGAATCTGCATTGCTAGCATTGAGTCAAACTTGACACCTGGAATCTGATCATTGCTGGTGTTGAGTGGAACTCTACACCTGGAGTCTGACTAGCATTGAGTGGAACTTGCTAGTGTTGTGTGGAACTTGACACCCAGAATGCATGCATTGCTAGTGCTGTAAGGAACTTGACACCCAGAATTTATGCGTTGCTGGCATTGAGTGGAACTTAACACCGGAATCTGTGCATTGCTAGGGTCGAGTGGAACTCTACACTTGGAATCTGCATTGCTAGCATTGAGTCGAACTTGACACCTGGAATCTGATCATTGCTAGTGTTGAGTGGAACTCTACACCTGGAGTCTGACTAGTGTTGAATGGAACTTGCTAGTGTTGTATGGAACTTGACACCCAGAATTTATGCGTTGCTAGTGTTGAGTGGAACTCTACACCTGGAGTCTGACTAGCGTTGAGTGGAACTTGCTAGTGTTGAATGGAACTTGACATCCAGAATTTATGCGTTGCTAGTGTTGAGTAGAACTCAACACCCAGACTCTGTGTGTTGCTAGTGTTGAGTCGAGCTGGACACCTAGAATCTGTGTGTTGCTCATGTTTGGGGTTTGTACTTCAATTATTTTACTTGCTCATGGCTTTTTGTTGTAATTGTTTTTTGTTTCTTTTTTATTTAAAAATCATCCTTTAATTATCTTTAGTATCTTCAATTTCATTCGCTGGCTTAACCAGATAGTCCACAATTATGTGTTAGAGAGACATATCTGTTCTGAAAAATATTTTTAGCCCTCAAATTTTTTCAAAACTAATTTGCAAGATGTATACGCACTGTAGTTCAAATGTAAATCATCAGTGTCCTGATTACTGAGGCAGATGTATCAATAAGATCGCCAGATTTGCTAGTGCAATGATGCTTCCTTATACAGCAAATTATTTTTCCTATGGGGATGGTGGGGAGATGGATTTGGAGGTGATTTATCCTATAAGAGCAGGTTTGGAAAGTTAATTAGCCTCTGGAGAAGGTTCCAGGATCTCTGGGGCTGGGTGGAGCTATAGGGGTGGGAAGTACCTGGGCCACTACTGTGCAGGTGTGTGAGTGAGGATGGCTCCCTGTGCTTGGCCCCTCTCACTACAGGGCACGCCTTCTTCCTGCCAGCTGTCCTCAGAGACAAGAGTCTCACTCAGCTTCAGCTCAGGCCCGCTCTCTACTGAGCCTTCCACCTGGACTTCCAAGTGGAAACACCCCAAAGATCCTCATCCCTTTCCTCCACTCGATGCCTGGTTTGGCTACCACCCGTAAGTGTGGTGTTCTGCCTGGCCCCGCCAAACCTCTTCCAGGCACCCAAGGTCTGGCCTCTGCTCAGGTTCAGGTCTTGGGCCATCGTGTATTTTCCTTCTCAGAATAGGTGCCTGGGTTGTTCTGACTATGGTCTAAGAGTCTTCCCTGCCCTGCCCTGCCCTGTCTCGCCCTGCTGTCCCCTTCCCTCCCCTCCCCTCCACTCCCCTCCTTCTCTTTCTCTCTCTCCCCCGCTCCCTCCCTCCTTCCTCCAGGAATTAAGACATTGAACATTCTGTCTCATTTCCATGATTTTTCAAACAGTGCCAAAAGAGCCAGCAAATGACTGTGCGATTATCTCCACCATCCTGTTTAAAACATTGTCGTTGTGTTTGACTTGATGTGGTCCTTCATCTTGACCATGACGTTTGTTTTACTGCTTCCTTGACGTATAATTTACATACCATAAAATCTACCCTTTTAAAGGGTATGATTAGATGGTTTTTAGTATTTTCAGAGAATTGTGGAACCATCACCCCAGTCTAATTTTAGAATATTTTCATCATCCAAAATAGAAATCCCGTATCCATTAGCAGTCACTTCCCATTCATCCTTCCCCCAGCCTTCAGCAGCCTCTACTCTGCTTTCTGTCTCTGTGGATTTGCCTACTCTGGCCGTGTCATATAAATGGAGTCATTTGGACTTTTGTGAATGGCTTCTTTCATGGAGGGTACTGTTTTCAAGATTCATCCGTGTTATAGAATATATCTAAACTCCATTCCTTTTTATGGCCAATAATATTCCACTGTATGCACCTGTCACACTGTTCATCCATCCATCAGTTGCTGGACACTTCCTGGCTGGTTTTCACTATTCAGCTGGTATGAATGAGGCTGCTATGAACTGTTATGCTCAAGTTTTTATGTGGATATAACTGTTAGATTTATAATCATTCTAATTAGCCATTTTGTACTTTTAAAGGAAACTGGGTATTTTATTCCTCAGAATGAAAGAGGAGACTCGAACTTCTAAACATAAATTGTGTTTGAAAATATTGGAGCTTCCTTATCCTACCATAAAACACTCAGTTTAAAATGAGCAGTTTTAAGATACTTGGTTTTGTTCCAACTAATACCTCTCCTGCCTTTTTTTTTGTCAATTTATTTTTGTTATTAAAATTTCTTCTGCTGTTGGCACCCCCAGAACAATATATTCTTCAATAGTTTAAAGGAGCTGCTTCCTCACTGGGATGTGGCCCCTTCTTCCTTCTTTTAATTACAGCGTTATTAAACTCCTCCAGGTTGACACTTTCTTTCATTCTCTATTTTAGATTTGTCAATCAGAGGTGCTCCATGAAGCAGCTCCTTAGTGCTGGGGGAAATGCAAAGCCATGGCGTGTCACTGTGGGTGCAAACCTGCTTCTGGAGCTGTGACATTCTTGGGGAGGGAGGGCTGTGAAGGGTCATCTTGGAGGGCCCACCCCTGCATCTCACCTGTGAGCCATCCTTCTCAGAGGATGAGAGAGTGGATAAGAGCTCAGGAGTTGCAAGGGAGCATTGCGGGAGCACTGTGCATCATAAGAGGGGAGGATGAAACCGACAAAGACGGGCACCTGGCAGGGAGTGCTAGTAAACTGAGGCGTGGAATACAGAAACAATCCTCCCCCGAAGAACTTTTGAAAATATTGTACAGACCCAGGGCACCCTCCCTGACCTACAGAAGCCAAAACCCCAGTGTGGGAGCACAGTATGTACGTTTAGAAAAGTTTTCATATGGCCGGGCTCAGTGGCTCATGCCTATAATCCCAGCAATTTGGGAGTCTGAGGCAGGTGGATCACCTGAGGTCAGGAGTTCAAGACCAGCCTGGCCAACATGGCGAAACCCTGTCTCTACTAAAAATACAAAAATTAGCCAGGCATGGTGGCGGGTGCCTGTAATCCCAGCTACTTGGGAGGCTGAGGCAGAAGAATTGTTTGAACCCAGGAGGCGGAGGTTGCAGTGAGCTGAGATTGCATCACTACACTCTAGCCTGAGCGACAGAGTGAGATTCCATCTTAAAAAAATAAAAAGGCAGAGGTTGCAGTGAACCGAGATCACACCACTGCACTCCAGCCTGGGTGACTGTCTCAAAAAACAAAACAAAACAATACAAAAATTTTAAGTATGTGTGGGGCTCATGTGCTGAGTTTGGTGGGGGAAATCTTTCCATGCACCCCCACAACTGTCTACAATATGAAAACAATCTTCAAGAAAACACCAGCGAACAGACCATTCATCTTTCCCTGTTGCCACATTTTATCTTGGTCTCAGGCTGCTGACCTGTCAGATGATTAACAAATGGAAACCATATGGTGGCTCAGAGGGACCAGGCGTGGTATGTGCTGCATTGAGGAGAGGGTGGGTAGGCAAATAGAAGTTAAGCTGGAAGAGAACAGCTACTGAAAGCTACTGAACTGCTACTGAAAGCTGGAAGAGAACAAAAAACTACTGTATACTCTTCTTCCAGTTTTACCAACTGTTAACATTTGCTTTGTCACTCTCTGTATGTCCATACATATTATTATTACTTTCCTGCACTGTTTGAGAGTAAGTTGCAGAGATCATATCCTTTTATATCAAAATACTTGAATGCGTACTTTCTGAGGACACATTTTCCCTTCTAGAATCACATTCCAATCATCAAAATCAGAAAATTTAACATACATACAGTAGTATCCTACATACAGTACGGATTCATGTCTTTTATGGAATGTCACCCATGAAAGACCTCCCCATCAGCGGCATACATTGCATCTGGTGGATGTCATGTCTTTTAAGTCTAATTTAATCTGGAATAATTTCTTAACCTTTTTTTGTCTTTCAAGATGTTGGCATTTTTGACAGCCAGTTGTTACCTAGTGTTTCTCTGTGATAGATACAGGATATGCATATTTGTCAGGACTACCACAGAAGTCCTGTTGATCCTTCTTAGTGCATCCCATCGAAAGACTTAAGATAGGGACGCGCCTCACTCTTGATGAAGTTCACTTGGATCATTTGGAGAGGGTGATGTCCACGAGGTTTCTTCACTGTTCAGTTACTATTTTTCTTTGTAATTAATAAGTCATTTGGCTGGGCGCGGTGGCTCATGCCTGTAATCCCAGCACTTTGGGAGGCTGAGGCGGGCGGATCACCTGAGGGCAGGAGTTCGAGACCAACCTGGCCAACATGGTGAAACCCCGTCTCTACTAAAAATACAAAAATTAGCTGGGTGTGGTGGTGCGTGCCTGTAGTCCCAGCTGCTTTGGAGGCTGCTCAGGAGAATCGCTTGAACCCGAGAGGCGGAGGTTGCAGTGAGCCGAGATCGGGCCACTGCACTCCAGCCTGGTGACAGAGCGAGACTCCGTCTCAAAAAAAAAAAAAAAAAAAAAGTCATTTGTGGGGAAATATTTTACGTAAGTACTCTATTCTTCAACTTTCACCCATTAGTTTAAGTATCCATTGGTGACTCTTTTTTTTTTTTTTTTTTTTTTTTGACAGAATCTTGTTCTGTTTCCTAGGCTGGAGTGCAGTGGCACAATCTCTGCTCAGTGCAACCTCTGTCTCCCAGGTTCAAGGAATTCTCCTGCTTCAGCCTCATGGGTAGCTGGGATTACAGGCATGAGCCACCATGCCCAGCTAACTTTTTGTATTTTTGGTAGAGACGGGATTTCATCATGTTGCCCAAGCTGGTCTTGAATCCTGATCTCAAGCAATCCACCCGCCTTGGCCTCCCAAAGTGCTGTGATTACAGGCGTGAGCCACTGTGCCTGGTCCATTGGTGATTCTTGCCTGAATTACTAATTATGGTGATGGTTGCAAAATGGTGATTTTTGAACTCTATTATTCTGTCTCCATTTATTAGTTAACATTTTATTTTAAGGGAGAACTTATCCATAGGCCTCATTTGTTTATTGTCTGTAGGAGTTGTCGTTCTGTTCAAAGAATGATAATCCATTATGCCGTCCTCATTGTTGTCAGTGGGTTATTATCTATTGCTTAAATTGTCCCAGATTTTGCCAAGTGAAGCTCATTCAGGCTGACTCCCATGTTCTTTATTTTTTATTTATTTATTTTTTGAGACGGAGTCTTGCTGTGTTGCCCAGGCTGAAGTGCAGTGGTGTGACTTCAGCTCACTACAACCTCTGCCTCCCGGGTTCAAGCGATTCTCCTGCCCCAGCCTCCTGAGTAGCTGGGATTATAGGTGTACACCACCACGCATGGCTGTTTTTTTGTATTTTTAGTAGAGATGGGGTTTTGTCATGTTGGCCAGGCTGGTCTTGAACTCCTAACCTCAGGTGATCTGCCCACCTCTGCCTCCCAAGGTGTTGGGATTACAGGCATGAGGCACTGCACCTGGCCTTCCATATTCTTTAGATATGTCTTCATTTTTTGAGCATTCTGGCCAGGCGCAGTGGCTCACACCTGTAGTCCCAGCACTTTGGGAGGCCGAGGAGGTGGATCATGAGGTCAGGAGATCGAGACCATCCTGGCTAACACAGTGAAACCCCGTCTCTACTAAAAAAAAAAAAAAAAAAAAGAAATACAAAAAAATTAGCCGGGCACACTGGCGGGCTAATTTTAGTAGTCCCAGCTACTCAGGAGGCTGAGGCAGGAGGATCGCTTGAACCAGGAGGCGGAGGTTGCAGTGAGCTGAGATCGCGCCACTGCACTCCAGCCTGGCAACAGAGTGAGACTCCATCTCAAAAAAAAAAAAAAGAAAAGAAAAAAAGAAAGCAAGGATATCTTTTTGTATTTTTTGCCTGAGTATCTGTGGCTTAGATTTTTAGAAATGGGATTTCTGGGTCAAAGGGAAAATGCATATGTAATTTTGCTAGGCAGTGTCAAATTACACTCATTAGTGTGCATTCTCACCAGTAATGTGTGAGGATGCCTCTGTCTTACAGACTCACCAATAGAGCCTATTGCCAATTTGTAAAATTACCAACCTAGAATAAATGATATCTTAATGTCTTTGTTTTGTGTTGCTGTAACAGAATACCACACACCGGGTAATTTATAAAGAAAAGAATAGAATGGTGAAGGTGACAGCAGTTAGTTGGCGTGAGCATCCCCCAAAGTTCTACAGTGTGGCCGAGGACCTTGATTGTACATCGTTCTTTATTTTGCTTACTTATTTTTATTTTTGTTTTGAGACTGGGTCTTACCCTGGCCCTTTTTTTTTTTCTTTCGGAGACAGAGTTTTGCTTTCATTGTTCAGACTGGAGTAGAATGGCGTGATCTTGGCTCACCACAACCTCCGCCTCCCGGGTTCAAGTGATTCTCCTGCCTCAGCCTCCCAAGTAGCTGGGATTACAGGCATGCGCCACTATGCCCGGCTAATTTTGTATTTTTAATAGAGACGGGGTTTCTCCATGTTGGTCAGGCCGGTCTTGAACTCCTGACCTCAGGTGATCTGCCTGCCTCGGCGTCCCAAAGTGCTGAGATTACAGCCATGAGCCACTGCGCCTGGCTTTTTTTTTTTTTTTTTAAATAGTCATTCCACATATTGTGAGATGCATTGTTACAGGAAGTCCCTTGCCCTCCCAAAAGCCACCCCACTTCTCTCAGGAGAACGGCCCAGTTCTCTCCTGAGTCCACAAAGGGGAGGTTACAGGATTGCTTTCATGTAAATTATGTAATGCAGCATTTTAAAAAATCTTCACCTTAATACTTTTTGTTTTATTTTGAATAATCAGCCATCATGGTCCCCATTTTTGTTCCTACCTTGAGATGTAAGAAGGCTCTTGGTCTCCCTGGGAGTGGGTGGAAGTGTGGAGGCAGCCAGGGCATACCTGTACACTGACTTGAGACCAGTTCGGTAAAAGTGCACACCTTAAAAAAAGAAAAAAAAAAGTTTATTTGGCTCATAGTTCTGGAGGCTGCAGAGTCTTAGAGCATGGTGCCAGCATCTAATGAGGCCCTGCGTGCTGTGTCATCCCATGGCGGAAGAAGGAAGGGCAAGAGTGGGTGAGATTGTGAGCACGAGAGAAGGCTGAACTTCATATTTTAACAACCCACTTTCATGATTATGATAATCTTCGCATTTATTTTTTTCGGTCTCTTCATTTCTCTAACTTTTCTCTGGGGTTTTGGTCTTTTGCTTCTTCATTTTTAGAAGCTCTTCATGTATTAAGGTCTGTTCAGGGGTTCCGCAGACCACTCCCAGTTCCAGTGACTTGCTGGGAGGAATCAGGACTACGGTGAAAATGTACAAAGCAAAAACAGCCAAGGGAAAAGATGTGGGGTGGAGCCTACAGGAAACCGGGGCAAGCTTCCCGAGTCCTCACCCAGTGCAGCCGTGCAGGATGCAGTTAATTCCTCCAGCATCAGGCTGTGACAACATGTGTGCAATGCTCCGTACCAGGGAAGCTCCTCAGAGACTCAGGGCCCAAGGTTTTCACTGGGGACTTGTCATGCAGACACCCTGTGCATAGCACATGCCAGAATTCCAGAGTCCCAGAAGGAAAGCAAGGCATTGGCATAAACCACGTTGTTTGCCACTCTAGGAGCAGTGAACTACTTTTAGCATTTAGGGAATGGTGGGAACACCTGAACTCCAAGATCCTAGATACCAATTAAAGGCCATTCCTCCAAGCAGGACTTTCTAAGAGACAGCAGTCTCAGGCCCATTAACTTTCTTCTGCACATAGGGAATATTAACCCTTAATGATATACGTTGCAAATATATTTCCCCTATTTATCATTTGTCTTTTACCATGCAAAGTTTGTTTTCTTTAGGCAATCGGATTTATTCATCTTTTCTTTATTGTTTCTAGATTTTGAGTCATAAGAAAGGTTTTTTTCATTCCCAGATTACATGGTGGTTTCTTTTCTTCTTTTTCTTTTCTGTTTTTTTGAGACAGAGTCTCACTCTGTTGCCCATGCTAGAGTGCGGCGGCACAGTCTCCACTCAGTGCAACCTCCACCTCCTGGATTCAAGCGATTCTCCTGCTGCAGCCTCCCGAGTAGCTGGGACTACAGGTGCATGCCACCACATCGGGCTAATTTTTGTATTTTTAGTAGAGAAGGGGGTTTCACCATATTGGTCAGGCTGATCTCAAACTCCTGACCTCAGGTGATCCACCTGCCTCGGCCTCCCAAAGTGCTGGGATTATAGATGTGAGCCACTGTGCCCAGCTGGTAGGTTTTTTTTCTTTTTTTTAATGGTTTCATTTTTTTCATTTAAATCTCTAATTCATTTGGAATTTATCCTGAGATAAGGTATGAAGAATGGACCCAGTGGGATCCACTTTTGTGTGTGTGTGGCTATGGCTGTCCTGTTTATCTCAACATAATTTATGGAAAAAACCCAATGACTGGAGATGCTGCCTTTATCATATGCTGCATTTGTCTATGCAATTGTGTTTCTTTCTGGATTTTGTATTGTGTTGTGTTAGTCTATTGGTCTGTTCATAATAGCAGCACCACACAGTTTTAATTAGGCTCTTTAGAATGATTTCATTTCTAATGGTGCCGGCTTCCCCTGCCCATCTAATTCCTTTTTAGGGCTTTCCCATGTGTTTTCGATTGTTGTTCCTCCAAGTGATCTTTGTAATCAGTTTCTCTAGTTCCGGGAGAGAAAGCCTGATGGCATTTTTATTGGGATTTTATTAAACTTAAAAATTAATTTAATGAACATCATCATCTTTATAATACTGAGTCTTCCCATCAAAGAACATGGTTTATCTCTCCATTAGTTCAATTCTATTTTGTGTCTTTTAGGAATATTGTGGTGTTTCTGCAGGTAGATTTCTTGTTAACTTTATGTATTTGATTTTTTTTTGCTATCATAAATGGTGCCTTCTCTTCGATTTTATCTTGTTTTTCTTGAATATATGAAGATTGTTAGTTTTTTCATTCCTAGATTACATGGTGGTTTTTCATGGTAGTTACTCATTTTATAACGTGCTGCTTTACAGAATGCTCACATTATTTGTATAAATTTTTCCCTTGATCCCTAGGGATTTTCAGATATAAAAACTTGTCACTGGGCCCGGCGCAGTGGCTCACACCTGTAATTGCAAGCACTTTGGGAGGCCGAAGCAGGCAGATCACTTGAGGCCAGGAATTTGAGACCAGCTTGGCCAACATGGCAAAACCCTGTCTCTTCTAAAAATACAAAAAAATTAGCTGGGCGTGGTGGCACACGCCTGTAATCCCAGCTACATGGGAGGTTGAGGCAGGAGACTCGTTTGAACCTGGGAGGTGGAGGTTGCAGTGAGCTGAGATTGAGCCACTGTACTCCAGCCTGGGCAACAGAGCCAGACGCTGTCTCAAAAATAAAAACCAAAACGTGTTATTGGCAAAAGAGATTGTTTTACCTCTTCCTTTCCATTTTTAGGGACTCTTAACCGCTTTTTTATTGACACAGTGCAGAGGCCATTACCTCCAAAGCAATGTTAATTTAAATCAGAGTGGAGTTAGTGGGCATTATTATTTTATTCCTGATTTTTAGTGGGATAGTTCTGGTGTTTGTTTGTTTGTTTGTTTTCACTTATTGTGGTCTAAGAGGGTTTGCGAATGTTCTTTGTATTCATTTTTTTGAGTCAGAGTTTCACTCTTGTTGCCCAGGCTGGAGTGCAATGGAGCGATCTTGGCTCACTGCAACCTCCACCTCCTGGATTCAAGCAATCCTCCTGCCTCAGCCTCTCAAGTAGCTGCAATTACAGGCGCCCGCCATCACACCCAGCTAATTTTTTATATTTAGTAGAGACGGGCTTCCACCATGTTGGCCAGGCTGGTCTCAAACCCCTGACCTCAGGTGAGCCACCCACCTTGGCCCCTCAAAGTGCTGGGATTACAGGCATGAGCCACCGTGCCTGGCTAGGAGATACAATCTTTATAAGTTCTGAGTTTAATGTGTCTATATGAACTACCTTATTAATTATGTTATTTAGGGCTTCCAATTTTTTTTTTTTAATTGAGACTGAGTCTCCCTCTGTCGTACAGGCTGGAGTGCAGTGGCGTGATGTCGACTCACTGCAACCTCCACCTCCTGGGTTCAGGCAGTTCTTTGCCTCAGCCTCCCGAGGAGCTGGGATTATAGGCACCCACCACCATGCCTGGCTAATTTTTGTGTTTTTAGTAGAGACGGGGTTTCTCCATGTTGGCTAGGCTGGTCTCGAACTCGTGACCTCAGGTGATCCACCCGCCCCTGCCTCCTAAAGTGCTGGGATTACAGGGGTGAGCCACCATGCCTGGGCTCACATTTGTGTGTGTGTGTGTACCTAGTCTGTCATGGACTGAGAATGGCATACTAAGGCCTCCTATTTTTAGTAACCTATTAAGGTCTCCTTGCATTTTCTGTGGGTTCTGCTTTATGAAAGTTGTTGCTGCCATATTGGTTATCTAGATAGAAATAACTTGTCTCTTCACTAGAGTTGTTGATTTAGCATATCAAGTAGCCTTCTAATTGTTTTCTCAGCCAAGTTCTACTTTGTCAGATATCAAGATGTGTGATCCCTGCTTGCTTCTCCTTGTGTTTATCTGATATAGATATATATATATTTGTCCATCCTTTTATTATTCTTTCTGAATTGTCTGTACCCAAAATATTGTTTTGCTTTTTAGTCAATATGAAAATGTTGCCTTTTATTGGATGACTTAAGCTCATTTATACTCATAGATAGGTGATTTAAGCATATTTATATGTATTGATATGATTGATATATTTGGCCTCAGTTTTGCAATATTTACATATATATGTATTTAAACATAATCTTTTGCCATGTAGTCCACTTTATTTTATTAATATCTTTTTTGGTGCACTTTAGGGCAGACTGTATTTTTGTCTAATTGTTATCATTATATATAGTCCTTTTATTTGTGGCTGTTTTCTGTTGGCTCCCAACTATGAGTAATTATGAAATTAGCTTGCATCTCTTCTTCCCCTCCCCCTTTCTCCCTTTCAGCATCTGATTTGTAAAAAAAAAAAAAAAAAAAAAAAAAGCCTTTTATTTCTAATTAATAAAAATTATTAGTAGTCAACAAATTTATTTTATGTGCATTCTTTTCATGTTGCATTGGACCTGTATTGACAGAGGACAGAGCCATAAATTACTATACTCTTCCCCTTACAACTGCCATAAAAGCTTCATTTAGGAAAAGTTCTCTGTAGCATTGATTTTACCATATGTCTTATATCCTTTTCATACTAAAAGATTCTTTAATAGTTTATTGGGCATATGGTGCTATAAATATACATTCATGTAACACTACTTCCTGGAACCTCCTAAAAATGAACAAAACTAACCAAAAATAGAGAAGAAAACAGCTAAAATTCATATCACATTTTATGAAATTTCCAGTGAAGTGTGGATCCATTTGCAGGAGGATACTGAGATGTGGCATCCCCGCCCATCTCTGGCTGGTTGCAGGTGTCTAAGCATACGTATCTGAAGGTACTACTCACAGTCGTTACAGCAGAGCTAGGAGCTGATGGATGAATAGACCATTGCCAAAGAAGCATATTCTGGCAGCAGCTCCTTTCCATCCTAAAATATAGCAGGGCATGCTGGGCTGAAAGAGGGATCATGTAGTAATGGTGTCATTATGTTCTTTGACTTTGTTTGACTAAAGGAGAAAATCTGTGAGGATGACCAGCTTATATCTGATCAGGAATTGCTAATATCTAAGATAAGGCATTTCCCCTTAAACCCGCCTGTCCTCCACAATGAACTTTGGAATTAGATATACACCCAGAACAAAGGATTTAGTAGAATTAGTGGGAAAGTATACCCAAGTTCAGGCTCTGATTGCTCACTGTTCAGCCAATTCTTCTAAACAACCAGAGGACTACACAGAGATTTCAAGACATTGTATTCAGTGTCATTGTAAGCATGGCGAAGAGTTGTTACTGAGCAAGCAAGTCCAGGGAGACCTGCACCCATTCAAAGCTGAGTGTGAAGCAGAAAGGACCCATCATGGGACTACGCACAGAAAATAAGGAAGGAAACATAACAAGCAAAAATAGATGAAAAAGTATACTTTGGAAAGAGTACTTCAGTAATTAGAATGGAATTTTATTTTTTTTTTCATTTTTTGAGACAGAGTCTCGCTCTGACACCCAGGCTGGAGTGCAGTGGCTTGATCTCGGCTTACTGCAACCTCTGCCTCCTGGGTTCAAGCCATTCTCCTGCCTCAGCCTCCCGAGTAGCTAGGATTACAGGTGCCTGCTACCATGCCTGGCTAATTTTTGTATTTTTAGTAGAGATGGGGTTTCACCATGTTGGCCAGGCTGGTCTTGAACTCTTGACTTCAGGTGATCTGCCTGCCTCAGCCTCCCAAAGTGCTGGGATTACTAGTGTGAGCCACTGTGCCCAGCTAGAATGGAATTTTAGATAAAGCCACTTTGCTCTTAAATTTAGACAACACGAGCTCAATAAAACAAAAGAACAAAGAAGTAATTTTAAAAGATTAAAGAAAGCTAAAAGGAGGAGATGGAGGTCAGCTGACATCCATAAGGAAAGAAATAGAAAACTAAAATCATTTCAGGAATTAAAAGCATGTTGGAGGTTACATGAGGTAGTACCAGTGGTTCTGAAATCACTGATGTGAGGATCAACTTCCTGAAATTACGTAGACCACGGTAGGAAAGAACAAAGAGGTCATGGTGATTAGAAAGAAGATGGAAGCTGTGGGAGAAGAGTCCAGAAGGCATCTACTGTAGTCAGAGCTGGTGTTCCTGCTGAAGAGAACAGAGTGTGTGGAACAGATGTAACATTAATAAATAAAAGACAAAGTTTTCCTGGAATATAATGAAAGATCATATAATATTAATATAAGGACTCACTGTGAACTGGAAAAAATTCAGAGTCATTAAAATGGAAGCGTATCCTGGTTAATTTATAAAACCTGAAAGATAGGCCGGGCACGGTGGCTCACGCCTGTAATCCCAGCACTTTGGGAAGCCGAGGTGGGCAGATCACCTGGGGTCAGACCAGCTGACCAACATGGAGAAACCCCATCTCTACTAAAAATACAAAATTAGCCAGGTGTGGTGGTGCATGCCTGTAAATCCAGCTACTTGGGAAGCTGAGGCAGGAGAATCGCTTGAACCTGGGAGGCAGAGGTTGAGGTGAGCCAAGATCATGACATTGCACTTCAGCCTGGGCAACGAGAGTGAAACTCCATCTCAAAAACAAAACAAAACAAACCCCTAAAAGATAAAAGAATACTACACATATTTAAGCAGGAAAAAAGCCAACAGGCCACCTATAATGGAAAAAATAAAATCACCTTAGTCTTGGGGTTTTCAACAGTGTAATGTGCCAAAAGATGATGAAGCAATGCTTAAGAATGTAGGGGGACTGGGCACAGTGGCTAATGCCTGTAATCCCAGCACTTTGGGAGGCCAAGGCAGGAGGATTGCTTGAGCCCAGGAGTTGGAGACCAGCCTGGGGAACATAGCAAGACCCTGTCTCTGTCCCCCTGCCCCCTAAAAGAAAAAGCCAGGTGTGGTGATGCGTGCCTGTGGTGTCAGTAACCTGGGAGGCAGAGGTGGGAGGATAGTGTGAATCTAAGAGTTCGAGGTTACCGTGAGTTGTGACTGCGCCACTGCACTCCAGCCTGGGTGACAAAGCGAGACTCTGGCTCAAAAGGAAAAAACAAGAGTAGGGGAGTTAGGGCAAGAAGGAAGACAATGTGATTGGATTGAAATGTCATTAAAATGCAGCATAATAAGACATTTGCAAATGGGCAAAAGCTCAGGAATTAATGGCATTCATAAACCTCACTGAAAAATCTACTTGCAGATATAACCCAGCCAACTGAAAGATGAATCAGTGAGGGCTCCAGAAATAGAGAGGTTGAAGTATAAAGATACCAGCTTCAATAATTGAATAATCTTTCTTGGAGAAATAAGCCAGAAGGCAAAAACAATTGAATAAATACCGACTCAACCTTAAAAATGTCAACACAATGATAACATGCCATAGCAAAATTTCCTGGAAGTCAACAATATCATGGGGGATTAGGTTAGGTTTGGGCTGGGGAGTGGGAGATACCACTGTGCTAATTGTCGTATCTTTCAGAATATGTGGTTAAGGAATACTGTTTCATTTTTTTGAAATTGATAAATTGAGAAGGCTATTATGCTAAAAACAGACTTTGTATACCTTTGAAATGTAAAAGTAAAAGTAAAATTGAGAGGAAGAAAAGCAACCAAATAAAATAGATTACAGAGTAAAAGGAAACAGGCAACAACAAGGAATAGTACAAAAGTTAAAACGAGTAAGACTGTTGCACCTGAGATGACCTCACCTGGCATGGACTCAACTAAATTCACTTTCTGTACTAAACAAAAACTATGGTAGTTACATATAAGTCATTCATTCAGAAAGTAAAAGGTTGGAAAAAAATTCAAAAAAGAAAGTAAAAGGGGCCAGACGCGGTGGCTCACGCCTGTAATCCCAGCACTTTGAGAGGCCGAGGTGGGTGGATCACTTGAGGTCAGAGTTCGAGACCAGCCTGGCCAACATGGTGAAACCCCGTCTCTACTAAAAATACAAAAATTAGCTGGGCATGGTGGTGGATGCCTGTAATACCAGCTACTCAGGAGGCTGAGGCAGGAGAATCGCTTGAACCCGGGAGGTGGCAGTTGCAGGGAGTGGAGATCATGATACTGCACTCCAGCCTGGGCAACAGAGTGACTCTGTCTCAAAAAAAAAAAGCAAAAGGATGGTTCAAAAATAAGCCAAACAAATGCACAGTAAAAGAAAGCGTGAGTATTATTTGATTGCAAAACAAAAAAAATTAAATGAAACAAGGGTTTAATTATTATTTTTTTGGTTTATTTAAAAATGTTTGATTTTATCATTGTACTCCGACCCTGCCAGTTAACTGTGGGTGCAGAGAACCTTTGCTTTACACATTCCGGAAAACTTGTAGAGAAGGCTGAAGCCAGGGAGGAGCAAGTGCCCAGCAGTGTGGGGCGGCAGAGGGTCTCACCATGGCCTGAGTATTTTGGGCTGTCCGCACTTGCTCCTCAGCCCTCCTATTCCAGTCCCACAGGTACATGGGCACCAACAAGTTCCAGAGCCTTTAAGGATCTAGGGAGTGTGTTGGGCTCGTTCTCAGCTCTTGCCCCTGCTGTCTTTCTTATATCTCTAAAGTCAGGCACGATGGGTCCTCAGCTTTTCAGGGCCAAAATCTTGCTGTTGTCACCTTTTCTTTTCTCCACATCCTCATGGTTTAATATTGCTTTAAATTTTTTGTTGTTGTTGTTTTTTGAGATGGAGTTTTGCTCTTGTTGCCCAGGCTGGAGTGCAATGGCGTGATCTCAACTCACTGCAACCTCCGCCTCCTGGGTTCAAGCAATTCTCCTGTCTCAGCCTCCCGAGTAGCTGGGATTACAGGCATGCGCCACCGCACCTGACTAGTTTTGTATTTTTAGTAGAGATGGGGTTTCTCCCTGTTGGCCAGCCTGGTCTCGAACTCCCGACCTCAGGTGATCCGCCTGCCTCGGCCTCCCGAAGTGTTGGGATTACAGGTGTGAGCCACTGCGCCTGGCCTAAATTTTTTTTTTAATTTTTAAAATAATTGCTTAAAAATTTTTTTTGCTTTGGTTTTAGTGGGGCTTTGGGAAAGAGTGAAATTAGATAATATGTTTAGTCCATCATTTAAACAGTTAAAACACTTTTAAAACACTTTAACTGGAAGTCAGAGTTTACCTTACAACAATGTTCAGAATTCACAAAAGGGCAGTGTGCTTTATGATCTTATATATACGAAGTAACATAGAGAAAAAAAAAGTACTCAGAAGGAGAAATAGAAAATTTAAGGACGGGCAAAGATACTGGATCTGGATAAAATATTTAAGTTTGAACTTTATATATTGAATTCTTCGTTCTATAGAGACTATGCTTTTCTATGCAGCAAGCCAAGGAACATTAAAAAAATTGGTCATGTAATTTACATTGCACAATATGGAGATTGTGCGTTGCTTTAAAACTATTGTTAGCGTCTGGGAACAATTTTACTTTTATCAAAACCATGTTTAAACTGTGAAAAATCTTAAGAGGGAGTAGAGCTATTCTGATTGAAGTTTGGGGTTTGAGACTGGACCTCACCAGGGGTCTCAATCAAAAGAACTTCTCACAGGACACAGTTTGAGAACACTAGCCAGGCATGGTGTCGTGCACCTATAGTCTCGGCCACTCAGGAAGTTGAGGCAGATGATTGCTTGAGGCCAGGAGGTCAATGCTGCAATGAGCTATGATTGCACCACTGCACTCCAGCCTGGGTGACAGAGTGAGACCCTGTCTCAAAAAAAAAAAAAAAAAAAGATGTAAAACACTGTTTTAAGATGTAACATTTCTACTTTCAAACATAAATTAATTGACCTTAGGTTCATTACCTTCTGCTTAAGACACATGGTTGGAAGAGGAGTTTCAATTATATATAAATATGTTGAGTCAACAATAGGTTAATTTTCCTGACTTTGCAGAACTGAAAAGTCTACATATTACTGCTGTCAAAAGATAGGAGCATTTAACAAGTAAAGTGAAAGAGTCTTCGTGCAAGAACTGTTTAAAATGTTTGGGGCAGGCTGGGTGTGATAGCTCAGCCTGTAATCCCAGCACTTTGGGAGGCCGAGGCGGGCAGATCACCTAAGGTTGGGAGTTTGAGACCAGCCTGACCAACATGGAGAAACCCTGTCTCTACTAGAAATACAAAATTAGCTGGGCGTAGTGGCGCATGCCTGTAATCCCAGCTACTCGGGAGGCTGAGGCAGGAGAATCGCTTGAACCCAGGAGGCGGAGGTTTCAGTGAGCCAAGATCGCGCCATTGCACTCCAGCCTGGGCAACAAGAGCGGAACTCCATCTCAAAAAAAAAAAAAAAATATTTGGGGCAAATAATAATATATTGTATGTACAGAGAGAAGCATCGGAAAGATACACAGGAATAGAAGGTGGATAGAAGGCAGAAATGGGGTAGTGTAAGACTTCTTAAAGGATACCTTTTTATATTGCTTTGAATTTTGAGCTATAACATATTCTTTGCTTAAAAGGCAGACATGTAACTATTGGTAGTGCTTTATGCAGCTATTGATTGGGTCTGCTTCCATAGCTTCCTCTTCTGTCTTTCCTGATTTCTGTATGAGAAAAGGTCTCAGACAAGTTAAGGGACTCATGGAAGGTGGTGTGAGTTTGAGAACATGGCTGGCAATCTGTAAGTATAGTTTATGTATTTTTGAGAGTAGTGCCTACCTCCATCATGCTAGCTTTGGGAAGGTAGTGTTAAAAAAACCAAGGGCTTTTAATGCAAAGTTGATGGTCTTGAATGCTTATATACATATGTTTGGGAAAATTGGATTAGTGTAGTTCTTCCCATTTGGGATAAAATATATATATATAAAAGTGGAAGAGAAATGATATGACATTTTAGCATATAGAGGGACTTTCAAAGTAGAAACATAATAAAGGAAATTATTCAGGAAAATAATTGGTAGATTTGATCACCTAGACTGTTTAAATACTTATATTGCAGAAAATGTATAACAAGGTAAACAACAAGCTGGGAAAAATTAGCAATGTAATGAGCAAGCACAAATATCCTCAGTGTATAAGCATTCACACAAATTGATAAGAAGCACTAAAACTCCAGTAGAAAAGTTATCCAAGGACAATTCATGAGAGAAATAGAGATCACTAGTATACAAAAAATAATATTCAGTAATAAGTAAATAAATCACTGCACCATGAAATCCTACTTCTTTTGAATTAGGAAATATTATCCAAAAATGGCAACATTTAACACTGAGGTAGGGATTATTACCCACGTTTTAGAGATGAAGAAACCAAGGAATGAAGGGATTAATTTACTTGCCTGAAATCACATAGCTGGTGCTGGGATTTGAACCTAGCATTGTGTCCCTATTAAGCTGGCCTCACATTATAAATATATACTGTTTTCAAGCACTTTCAAGCTATATTATATATCCGTTTATGGCAGTAAGTATACATCTTCATTTTTGATGGTTGTATAGAATTTTATTGAATGGATGTAATATAATTTATTTAATATATCCTCTATTTTGAGTGTTTCCAGGTTCTGGTGGTGGTTTTGCTATTATAGTGCTTCACCGAACATTTTTGTGTGTGTATATCTTTGCATACATGTACAAATACTTATGTGGGGTAGGTTCCTAGAAAGGCACTATTTGGCTAATAGGGTATGTGCATTAAAATTTTTGATAGCTAATGTGACACTTTATAATGGCTCTTTAACCCTTTACTATCACCTGTGTATAATTTACCACCACCTTCAGTATTGGCACCAGTTTTGAATGGCTTTGCATTAAATTTGTAGGTAGATTTAGTGATATTCAATATTTCTTTTAAAAATATTGACTCTTCCTCATCCTGAACCAATTGACCAGAAAACAAAAAACAAAAAAAACAAAATGGACTCTTCCTGTGTAAGATTAAGGCATGTCTCTATTTGTCTGCTTGTACATAGAGAGTTTATTTAAAGAGCAATATTATTTTTAAGGGTAGGAGTAATAGCTTATTCATGTAGTTATGTAGTGTATTCTTAAGGGTAACATTCTATTGCTGTTGCCATTCTGAGTGGGATGTTTTCATCCATTATATGTTCTTATTGTTAGACAGGGTAGTTGTTGATTTCTGTCTATTCATTTAGTAACTGGTCATCTTTTTTAATTCCCTTATTGCTTTAGTTTTTCACTTAATTTCCTTAGTTATTCAAGGTATACAGTTATCATCTATAAAGAATGAAATTTGCCATGCGCGGTGGCTCATGCCTGCAATCCTAGCACTTTGGGAGGCCGAGGTGGATCGCCTGAGGCCAGGAGTTCCAGACTAGCCTGGCCAACATGGTGAAACCCCGTTTTTACTAAAAATACAAAAATTAGCAGGGCGTGGTGGTACACGCCTGTAGTCCCAGCTACTCAGGAGGCTGAGGCAGAAGAATCGCTCAAACATGGGAGGTGGAGGTTGCAGTGAGCCGAGATTGTGCCACTGCACTCCAGCCTGGGTGACAGAGCAAGACTCCGTCCAAAAAAAAAAAAAAAAGAATTAAATTTTAATCTCCTCCTTCTTCCCAAAATCCTTTTCCTTTACTCTGTTCTTTTTGATTTGTAATATCTAATTCTTCCTAAACAGTGTAAAATCAGAATAATGATAGTAGATCTCCTTGGCTTAATTCTGGCTTCAATAAGGATTCTTCTAGTGTTTCATTTTATTTTGGTTTGAGATTTTTTTTTTCTCCCATCATCTGTTCCTAAGGAATCTTTCCCTTTTTAGCTTAAGTTTTTTACTTTCCTGGATTGAGCCTAGATTTTTTTTTTTTTTACTACTTCTGTTTGTTTATTTATTTATTTATTTATTTTTGAGATAAAGTCTCACTCTGTTGCCCAGGTTGGAGTGCAGTGGCGCCAGGGCTCACGCGATTCTTGTGCCTCAGCCTCCTGAGTAGCTGGGACTGCAGGCACGTGCCACCATGCCCAGCTAATTTTTTGTATTTTAGTATAAAGATGGGGTTTTACCATGTTGCCCAGGGTGGTCTTGATCTCCTGAGCTCAGGTGATCCAACACCTCAGACTCCCAAAGTGCTAGGATTACAGGTGTGAGCCACTGTGCCTGGCCTTTTTTCACTACTTCTTAATTGCATAGTTTGAATTGGAAAGCATTTCCTACATTATTTTTTTTCATAGAGTACCTAAACACACAGTGTTTTAAATAATAAGACAAAATTGCTGCATTTGGTAGCTGGGCTCGGTGGCTCACACCTATAATCCTAGCACTTTGGGAGGCCAAGGTGGGAGGATCCCTTGAGCCCAAGAGTTTGAGACCAATCTGGGCAACATAGGAAGACCCCTCTCTACAAAAAAATAAAAAAAAACTTAGCCGGGTGTGATGGCATGTGCCTGTGGTCCCAGCTACTTGGGAGGCTGAAGTGGGAGGATCACTTGAGCCCAGGAGGTTGAGGCTGCAGTGAGCCGTGATCACACCACTGTACTCCAGCTTGGGTGACAGAGTGAGACTGTCTCAAAAAAAAAAAAAAAAAAAGGGACATATGAGTTATTTCTTCTGAACTTCTGACCAGTATTAAACTTCAGTATTATAGATATATCGTGCTAAATGTGGTGGGTGGAAGAAGGTTGTGGTATAATGTGACAGTGAGGAAGCTTGCATTATATAAAAATGCTAAAGGTGACTTCATGTGGCGTAGTTGAGGTCAGTGAGTTCTAAGCTGGTTGACCGCCAGAACCATGCGGGTGAGCGAGGGGTGTTAAGAACACAGATGCCCAGCCTTCTCTGGAGATTCCCATTTAGTGAATCGCGCACGGCCCCTGGGAATCTGTTTCCGGAGTTTCCCAGGTGATCTGGTCAGCCACATGTGGCTTATTCTTCCTTGATGCCTACCCAGATCTTAAACTTGCCTTCCAGGTAAAGTAAGCCATGCTACAACTGGAAAGCTCAATCTGAAGTCCTGTAACTAATAGGTAAACATTTTGAGGAACACTTTGAGGACCTGGGCCATGTCCACCCGCCTCCCCTATCCTCAGTCTGAGTACGGCTCAGTGACTAGTACAGTGCCTGCTACATTGTTACTAGCTAGTAAACTGGTTGAAATAGGGAACGTTTCTTTTTTTGGTAAATGGTGTCTTGAGCACTTGCCATATTTAAGAATTATGTTTTGCTTTTGTTTTTTTGGTCCTGCTCTTCATGGCATTGAGCTGTGATGTTAACATCTCTAATGGGGCAGGCCAGTCTAGCATTGAGTTCTCCTCCTGGGAAAGAATTTGAGGATGCGTACTTTTTAGATGACATCTACTGAGTTATATTTAATAGATTGTCATTGAAGTTAGTGATGGATGAGCCTATGTTGGTGCAGATTTTATTAAAATTTTAAATTTGAATGTCTCAAATTTGGTTTGATGTTTGTTACATTATGATTATTCAAAGTAACAAAACTTCAAGTGTATTTGATACTATTAATATATAAGGAATAGCCCAGGAAAATGGA